>NC_000012.12:28916991-29069686 GCF_000001405.40 Homo sapiens
ACTACCACAAAAACATACTTGAATACACAACTCATAGACCCTATAAAGCAACTACACATTCAGGATTACAAAGCAACCAGCTAACAACATCATGTCAGGAGCAAAACCTTACATATCAATATTAACCTTGAGGGTAAATGGTCTAAACACCCCAATTAAAAGACACGGAGTGGCAAATTGAATGAATAAATGAGACCCAATCCTCTGCTGTCTTCAAGAGACCTATCTCACACGTTACAACACCCATATCCTCAAAGTAAGGGGAGACTTTACTTTGACACTATGGGTGTTGTAACATGTGAAAACAAAAAACAAAAACGAGCAGAGGTTGCTATTCTTATATCGGGGAAAAAAATACTTTAAACCAACAACAGTAAAAACGGGTAAAGAAGGGAAATTACATAATGATAAAGTGTTCAATTCAACAAGAAGACATAAATATCCCACATGTATATGCACCCAACAATGGAGCACTCAGATTAATAAAACAAGTATCTAGACCTATGAAAAGGTTTAGACAGCCACACAATATTGGTGGGGGACTTCAATACCCATCTGACAGCATAAGATAGATTGTTGTAGCAGAAAAATTAAACTAAATATCTACAGAGTAATCCACCCAACAACCATAGAATATACATTATTTTCATCTACGAATGGAACAATCTGTAAGATTGACCACATGCTCAGCCATAAAGCAAGTCTCAATACGTTCAAAAAAATCGAAATTATACCAAGCATACACTCAGACCACAGTAGAATAATAACAAAGACCAATACCAAGATGATCTGTAAAAACCACACAATTACATGGAAATTAAACAACTTGCTCCTGGATGACTTTTGGGTAAACAACGAAATTAAGGCAGAAATTTGAAAAATGTTCGAAATAAATGAAAACGGAGATACAATATACTAACATCTCTGGGATGCAGAAAAAAAAAACAGTGTTAAGAGGAAAGCTTATAGTACTAATTACCTAAATCAAAAGTTAGAAAGATATCAAATTAACAATCTAATATAACACCTAGGGGAACTAGAACAAGAAAAACTAACCCCAAACATAATAGAAGAGAAGAAATACCTAAAATTAGAGCAGAAATGAAAAAAATTCGAACCCCAAAATTCATACAAATGATCAACGGAACCTAAAGTTGGTTCTTTTAAAGGATAAAATAGGTTAATATATCGCTAACTAGATGAACAAATAAAGAGAGAAGATCCAAATAAGCACAATCAGAAATGACAAGGGCGATGTTACAACTGACCTCACAGAAATACAAAATATCCCCAGAGACTATTATGAATACCTCTATGCATACAAACTAGAAAATCTAGAGGAAATGAATAATTTCCTGGAAACACAGAATCTTTCAAGATTGAGAAAGGAAGAAATTGAAATCATGAATAAATCATTAATTAGCTCCAAAATTGAATCAGTCATAAAAAACATACCAACGGCTGCTTGTTGTGGCTCATGCCTGTAATCCCAGCACTTCAGAAGGCTGAGATGGGTGGATCACGAGGTCAGGAGTTCGAGACTAACCTGGTCAATAAGGTGAAACTCTATCTCTACTAAAAATACTAAAAATTAGCCAGCCATGGTGGTGCATTCCTGTAATCCCAACTACTCAGGAGGCTGAGGCAGGAGAATCACTTGAACCCAGGAGGTGGAGGTTGCAGTGAGCCAAGATGATGCCACTCTACTCCATTCTGGGTGACAAAGTGAGGTTCCATCTCAATAAATAAATAAATAAATAAATAAATAAATAAAAACACCAACCAAAAAAGCCCTAGATCAGATGGATTCATAGCCCAATTCTACCATATCTGCAAAGAGGAGCTGGTACCAATCCTACTGAAACCTAAAAAATTGAGGAGAAAGGACCCCTCCCTAACTCATTGTATGAAGCCAGCATCACTCTGATACCAAAATCTGGCAAAGATACAAAAAAGAAAATTACAGGCCAATATCTCTGATGAACACAGACATAAAAAAATCCTTCAACAAAATACTAGCAAACTATATCCAGCAGCAGATCAAAAAGTTAATTCATCACAATCAAGTAGGTTTTATTCCTGGGATGCAAATTTGGTTCAATATATGCAAATCAATATGTGACTCACCAAATAAACAGAATCAAAAACAAAAACTACATCATCATCTCAATAGATACAGAAAAGCTTTAGATAAAAGCCAACATACCTTAATAATAAAAATCCTCACCAAATTCAGCATACAAAGAAAATACCCCAAAATAATTAGAGCCATCTGTGACAAACCACAACCAACATTATACTGAATGGGCAAAAGCTGAAAGCATTCCCCTTGAGAACTGGACCTGGACAATAATCCCACTCTCAAAATTCCTATTCAAGGTAGTACTGGAAGTTCTAGCAAGAGAAATTAGGCAAGAGAAATAAATAAAAGTCATTCAAATGGAAAAGGAGAAGTCAAACCATCTCTCTTCACTAATATGATTCTATACATAGACAAGCCTAAAGTCTCCACTGAAAGTCTCCAAGAACTGATAAAAGACTACAGTAAAGTTTCAGGATACAAGATTGATGTACAAAAATTGGTAGCATTTCTAGATACCAATTGCGTTCAAGCTGAGATCCAAATAAACAGTGCAATCCTATTTACAATAGCCTAAAAGTACCTATAAATACGTCTAACTAAGGAGTTAAAAGGTCTCTACAAGAAGAACTACAAAATACTGCTGAAGGAAATCAGAAATGACACAACCAAATGGAAAAACATTCCATTCTCATGGATTGGAAGAATCGATGTATTAGTCTGTTTTTATATTGCTATAAAGAACTGCCTGAGACTGGGTAATTTATAAAGGAAAGAGGTTTAATTGACTAACAGTTCAGCATGGCTGGGGAGGCCTCAGGAAACTTACAATTATGGCAGAAGCCAAAGGGGAAGCAAGGCACCTTCTTCACAAGGCAGCAGGAAGGAGAAGTGCTGAGTGAAGGGAGAAGAGCCTCTTATAAAACCATCAGATCTCATGAGAATTTACTCACTATCATGAGAATAGCATGGGGGAGCCACCTCCATGATTCAATTACCTCCACCCAATCTCTCCCTTGACACATGGCGATTATGGAGATTATGAGGATTATAATTCAAGATGAGATTTGGGTGGGCACACAAAGCCTAACCATATCAATCAATATCATTAAAATGGTCATACTGTTAAAAGCAATCTACAGATTCGGCCCTATTCCTATCAAACTACAAATGTCATTTTTCACAGATTCAGAAAAAAATTATTCTAAAATTCACATGAACCAAAAAAGAGCTTATAGCCCAAAGAATCCTAAACAAAAAGAACAAAGTCAGAGCAATCCCATTACCCAACTTCAAACTATACCACAAGGCTACAGTCACCAAAATAGCATGGTATTGGTACAAAACCAGACACATAGACGAATAAAACAGAACAGAGAACTCAGAAATAAAGCCATATACCTACAACAATCTGATCTTTGACAAAGCTGACAAAAATAAGCAATGGGAAAAAGATTCCCTATTCAATAAATAGTGCTGTGAGAAGTGATTATCCATGTATTGAAGAATGAAACTGGACCACTACCTATCACCATACACAAAAATTAGCTCAAGATGAATTAAAGATTTAAATGTAAGACCTCAAACTACAGAAATTCTAGAAGGAAACCTAGGAAATACCCTTCTCAACATTGGTCTTGGCAAAGAATTTATGGCTAAGTCCTCAAAAGCAATTGCAACAAAAACAAAAATTCACAAGTGGACCTAATTAAACTAAAGAGCTTCTGCACAGCAAAAGAAACTATCAATCAATAGACAACATACAGAATGGAATAAAATACAAACTATGCATTCAACAAATGTCTAATACACAAAATCTGTAAAAAACTTAAATAAATGAACTAGCAGAAAACAACACCACTGAAATATGAGCAAAGGACACAAACGGATACTTCTCAAAAGAAGACATACAAGCAACCAACAAATACAGGAAAAAATGTTCCACGTCACTAATCATCAGAGAAATGCAAATCAAGACCACAATGAGATCTCATCTCACACCAGTCAGAAAGGCTTTACTAAACAGTCAAAAAATAACAGATGCTGGCCTGGTTGCATTGAAAAGGGAACACTTATACACTGCTGGTGGGAATATAAATTAGTTCAGCCAGTGTGGAAAGCAGTTTGAAGATTTCTCAAAGAACTGAAAATAGAACTACCTTTTGACTCAGCAATCCTATTACTCAGTATATACCCAAAGGAAAATAAATCATTCCACCCAAAAGACACATGCATCCATATGTTTACCACAGTGCTATTCATAATATCAAAGACATGGAATCAACTTAGGTGCTCATCAACAGTGGATTGGATAAAGAAAATGTGGCGCATATACACCGTGGAATACTATACAGCCATAAAAAAGAATGAAATAATGTACTTTACAGTAACATGGATGCAGCTGGAGGCCATTTTCTTAAGTTACTGTGCACAGAAACATTAAACTAAATACCACGTGTTCTCACTTATAAGTGAGGGCTAAACATCAGGTACACATGGATATAAAGATGGGAACAATAAGCACTGGGGACTACAAGATGTAAGGTGAAGTCTGACTTAAAGAAATCAAAACATGATACACAATATGAAAGGAAAATTCTTCAGTGAAAGAGATAGCATAAATAAAAATTATCACAACTTCTGGAAATCAAAGACACACTTAGAGAAATGCAAAATTCACTGGAATGTCTCAGCAACAAAATCAAACAAACAGAAGAAAGAACTTCAGAGTTGAAGACAAAGCTTTTGAATTAACACAATCCATCGAAGACAAAGCAAAAAGAATTTTTAAAAATGAACAAAGCCTTCAAAAAGTTTGGAACTATGTTAAGCATCCAAATCTAAGAATAATTGGTGTTCCTGAGGAGGAAGAGAAATTTAAAAGTTTGGAAAAAATATTTGAGGGAATAATTCAAAATTTTCCCAGCCTTGCTAGAGATCTAGGGCATCCAAATACAAGAAGCTCAAAGAACACCTGGGAAATTCATCACAAAAAGATTATAGCCTAGGCACATAGTCATCAGGTTATCTAAAGTCAACATGAAGGAAAGAATCTTAAGAGCTGTGAGGCAAAAGCGTCAGGTAACCTATAAAGGAAAACTTAATCAGATTAACAGAAGACTTCTCAGCAGAAACCCTACAAGCTAGAAGGAATTGGGGTTCTATTTTTAGCTTCCTTAAACAAAACAATTATTAGCCAAGAATTGTGAATCCAGCAAAACTAAGCTTAATACATAAAGAAAAGATATGGTCTTTTCTAGAAAAACAAATACTGAGAGAATTTGCCACTATCAAGTCAGCACTACAAAAACTGCTAAAAAGAGCCCAAAATCTTGAAACAAATCCTCAACATACACCAAAATGGAACCCCCTTAAAGCATAAATGTCACAGGACCTACATAACAATAACACAATGAAAAAACCAAGTTATTCAGGCAACAAAGAGCATGATAAATAGAATAACACCTCACATTTCAATACTAACATTGAATGTAAATGACCTAAATGTTCCACTTAAAAGATATGGAATAGGCTGGGTGTGGAGACTCACACCTGTAATCCCAGCTCTTTGGGAGGCCGAGGCGAGAGGACCATGAGGTCAAGAGATGGAGACCATTCTGGCCAACATGGTGAAACCCTGTCTCTACTCAAAATACAAAAATGAGCTGGACGTGGTGGTGCGTGCCTGTAGTCCCAGATACTCAGGAGGCTGAGGCAGGAGAATCACTTGAACCCAGGAGGCAGAGGTTGTAGTGAGCCAAGATCGCGCCACTGCAGTCCAGCCTGACCAGAGACCGAGATTCCATCTCGAAAAAAAAAAAAAGAGAGAGAGACTAAATAGCAGAATGGACAAGAATTCACCAACCAAGTTTCTACTGTCTTCAGGGGACTCACCTAACACATAATGATCCCCATAAACTTAAGATAAAGTGATGGAAAAAGATATTCCATGCAAATGGACACCAAAAGTGAGCAGGAGTAGCTATTCTTATATCAGACAAAACAAACTTTAAAGCAACAGCCATTTAAAAAGACATAGAGGGACATTATATAATGATAAAAGGACTGGTCCAACAGGAAAATATCACAATCATATACATATATATATATATGCACCTAACACTGGAGCTCCCAAATTTATAAAACAATTACTACTAGACCTAAGAAATGAGATAGAAACACAATAGTAGTGGGGGACTTCAATACACCACTGACAGCACTAGACAGGTCATCAAGACAGAAAGTCAACAAAGAAACAATGGACTTAAACTGTACCCTACAACAAATGGACTTAACAGATATTTACAGAATATTCTACCCAACAACTGCAGAATATACATTCTATTCATCAGCACATGGAACATTCTCCAAGATAGACCATATGACAGACCACAAAACAAGTCTTAGTAAATTTAAGAAAACTGAAATTATATCAAGTACTCTCTCAGACCACAGTGGAATAAAATTGGAAATCAACACCAAAAGGAACCCTCAAAACCATGCAAATACATGGAAATTAAATAACCTGCTCCTGAATGATCACTGGGTCAACAATAAAATCAAGATGGAAATTAAAAAAATATTTGAACTGAACAATAATAGTGATACAACCTATCACAACCTCTGGGATATAGCAAAATGGTGCTAAGTAGAAAGTTCATAGCATTAAATGCCTACATCAAAAAGTCTGAAAGAGCATGAATAGACAATCTAAGGTCACACCTCATGGAACTGAAGAAACAAAAACAATCCAAACCCAAACCCAGCAGAAGAAAAGAAATAATGAAGATCAGAGAAGAACTAAATGAAATTGAAACAACAACAACAAAAATACAAAAGATAAATGAAACAAAAACTCATTCATTGAAAAGATAAATAAAATTGATAGACCATTAGTGAGATTAGCCAAGAAAAGAAGACAGAAGATCCAAGTAAGCTGAATTAGAAATGAAATGGGAGATATTACTACTGATACCACAGAAATACAAAAGATTATTCAAGGCTGCTATGAACACCTTTATGTGCATAAACTAGAAAACCTAGAAGAGATGGATAAATTCCTGGAAAGATACAACCCTCTTAGATTAAACCACGAAGATACAGAAACTGAACAGACCAATAATAACCAGCGAGATTGAAATGGTGATAAAAAAATTGCCAACAACAAAAAAAAATCCAGGACCAGACCGATTCACCACTGAATTCTATCAGACATTCAAAGAAGAATTGGTACCAATTCTGTTGACACTATTCCACAGGATAGAGAAAGAGGAAATCTTCCCTAAATCATACTATAAAACCAGTGTCACCCTAAAACCAAAACCAAAAGGACATAACAAAAAATAAAACTACAGACCAATATCACTAATGAACATAGATTCATAAATCCTCAACAAAATACTAGCTAACCAAATCCAACAGCATATAGAAAAGATAATCCACCATGATCAAGTGCGTTTCATACCAGGGATGCAGGGATGGTTTAACATATGCAAATCAATAAATGTGATACACCACATAAACAGAATTAAAAACCAAAATCGCATGGTCATTTCAATAGTCACAGAAAAAGCATTTCATAAAGTCCAGCATCCCTTTATGATTAAAACCCTCAGCAAAATCGGCATACAAGGGACATACCTCAAGGTAATAAAAGCTATCTATACATCTTTTTATGGTGTATCTTCAGTTGCTGATTAAGTTTAGAGGATATTTTCCATTTCTAACTTTAAAATGAGGAAAAAAAGAAGAATTAATACATGTTGGTGTAGATTATCTTCAATAAAACATGTCAGCATTAAACATGAATGACTATAGCCTTTTTACTCTTACCTAAGAAGGCGAGGCTGAACAAGATAGGAAATGATGTTTACAACATTTCATCAATAGTAATGAGAAAAGACTTTTAGGTTAAAAAGAAATCACTGAGACTATTTTACCAAAAAAAATTAACGAAAGTTCTCACATCATCTTCATCTGAGAATGTAGTGGAGAAGTGTGCCCCATATTGAGAATTTATTATGTATTTCAAGCAAATTCTCTGTGTAAGAAAAGGAAAAAGGAACTAGGAAAAGAAAACTTCAGCAACTTTAATACTATTCATACCAGTAAAGAAACACAATTCATTAGAAAAAAATAATCTATACACATAAGGTAAAGCCTTTGCAAAGACTCCAAGTTCACAAATTTCCTAAGAATCAGCTGTGTGGGGCCACTTGATCACAAGAGAAGTATGTGAGAATGAAAATGATGACTTGAAAGGAATTCCAAAATCCTTTGCATCAAAGACATATAATGCGAATGGAAGGATGATGGCCAGAAGTTGTGTTGGGTTGAGTAAAGCACTGTATTTATTATATCATTATGTCATTTAGTCTTCACACCAAGCCTGTGGGACAAACAACACTTTGTGGGACATTTTCAGTGAGGGAAGAATTAGCAGTGACCTCCCACCCTCAGAAACTCTGACTAGTGCCATGGGAGTGTTCTTGGCTTGCTTGGAGAAGGTAAAGACAAGGTAATCCAAGGCTGCTCTTAGCCCACAGGCATTGCAGTTAGCAGTAATTACCTGGAAAATCAGCAGAATGATAGAGTTTAAAGAAGCCTCCACAAGTGACAAAGTTTTTCCTTGAGAATTTCTCAAGCACTGGAAAAAGGTAGCTTATTATATGTAAACATTGCTAAGGGTGTTTTTGTGTGAGAGTGAAGAGTGACATGTTTTGGTGGTAGGGGCAGGAAGGGAACATTTAGGGGACTGCAAGACAAGACCCAACAGGAATGAAATGATGAAAGAATGGCCTGTGCTGATGGGCAGACACAGTTGATTGAGAGGAGTCTGGAAACGTTTAAGCAAAGTCATGTAAATAGAACTCCCAAAAAAGTGTTTGGAAATAAAGAGCAAGGCGAGAGCCTCAGAGAAACATCCAGAAATTTCAGGAGGAAATTAGGTTAAACCTCAAAAATAGGAGTGAGAAAAGTGGAAATGCCAGAAGAATAAGATCAGCTTTAGAGAAAAAAAAAAAATCATTGCTCAGTGATGGTGATGACCTTCAAAGTTTCAGAGAGTCTTCTGTCAACAGCTGCTGACCAGATGTCCCAAAGCAAATGGTAAATGATAACATGTAACCCTCCCTCTCCAAGCGCTTCCCAGCCAAGGAACCCAGTCATAACTGTAATTCTCTGCAGAAGGCTCCCCAAACATCAAGTTTCATTGCCTCTAATCCTGCCAGGTTTTCATGGGGGAATTTGTTATTCATCCTCAGTGAAGAGTTTCCTCAAAGATCAACAAACTCTATCCTGGCAAATGTGACCCAGCCTGGGAATAGTGAAGGGAGCCAGGTCTCCCCAGGCTACATGTTATCTGGGTTCCCAAGAGTGGCCTTGGACTTTCTTCCAGAGTTGTGCCAGTGGGTGGCCTCCATGTAACCTCTAGAGAAGAAATGGTTCTTGGTGGAAATAACTATTGTTGGAAATAGATTCCAGTGCAAGTCTCAACACTGGGTCACAATGATGGTGGCCTTTGTTGGCATGGCCTCCCACTGGCAGTGGCAGCACATTTTCCTGACATCACCATTCCCAGGTGATACGGTTTGGCTGTGTCCCCACCCAAATCTCGACTTGAATTGTATCTCCCAGAATTACCCTGTGTTGTGGGAGGGACCCAGGGGGAGGTAATTGAATCATGGGGGCAGTTCTTTCCCATGCTATTCTCATGATAGCGAATAAGTCTCATGAGATCTGATGGGTTTATCAAGGGTTTCTGCTTTTGCTTCTCCCTCATTTTCTCTTGCCACCGTCATGTAAGTAGTGCCTTTTGCCAACCGCCGTGATTCTGAGGCCTCCCCAGCCATGTGGAACTGTAAGTTCAATTAAACCTCTTTTTTCTTCCCAGTCTCAGGTATCGCTTAATCAGCAGTGTGTAGAGGGACACCAGGGCCCACATTATTTTTCTGAGTCTCTTGCTGACAGTTATGTAGAGACAGTTGAACACCATCTTGGACTACTGTCCACAGTCGATGCTGTTGAGCATTTTTGTCGGAATTACTGTACATCAATCTGTAACTGAACGTGCTTAACAGCTTCTATCAATGCAATGAGGGACAAACCTAAGTAACACCACATCCATTGTTTCCCTCACTTAAGGCCATTTAACCCTAGAGCCACTGATTCTGTCTTGGCTGAGGATGCGTGTATGCTCTCACAAGGATGCTTCACTGGGAATAGAGATCCTCACTCCCTTAACTCAGCATCCACACTTGTCCAAAGACTCTGAGCACATATGGAGGAGGCAGCCAGATAGGAATTTTAATCAGCCTATAACCCTTATTAACTGTGTTACTTCTTAGCAAGCTAACTTATTAACAAATTTGGCTCATTCTCAGTTTCTTCACCTAACAAACGTTTTTACTCACAAAGTGTCTCTCGGGATTAAACAAAATGTTACCACTAATTTTACAGCACTTAGTTTTAGTCTCTGGTTATATATTCCTTGTCCTAATAGAAAAACATGAACCCAAACAGACAAGAATTCATTGGTATTTTAATCCACATGTTCCACAAGACTAGATATTTGTGGACAAAGGTGACACTGGGTGAGTGTCACTGGGAGAAGTCCTCTCTTCTTGGTATTGGGTAATGGGCAGCTGCAACAAGGAGATGGCTGGGATGCAACAGAAACAGGCCTCAGGTGAGGAGCCCACAGTCTTGATCACTCCCACTTGGCCATATGATCTGAGTGGGAGCCAAGGAAGCCAGGTCTGAGCCTTGACTTCATGCAGGTTTTAAATCCCAAGTGAAGCCACTCAGGAGAAGAGGCAGCCTTTGGAAATGAGACGAAGGAGTTCAGGTTACAAGGCCTGCAGGTGAGAGAGGAAGAGAACACCCCATTGTCACACGGGCATTCAGAGAGAATAATGACTGCAGTAGTGTCTCCTTTCTAATTTTTAACAGCACCAATCTCTTCAGAATCCATCCTTTTTATTAACGGAAGGGCTCCTCAGTGAGAGCTGTCTTCACTGAGGTAGCTAAGACATGCCTCAGTGTGTCTGGTGACTTGGTGGCCAGGCCTGCCAGAATTTGTATGAGTAACTATGGAGAGAAATTGTTCATCCATTCAAAACAGTCAGTGTTCATTGGGCATCTCTGAACTAAGTACTGCACAAAGCCACCATATACAGAGATGTAGACAGACAGTGTAGCACAAGAGAGCACTGGGCAGAGGAGCCTGGCCCAGTAGTGAAGACTTAGTTGAGAGATGAGAGGGCTGAGTTGGTCATGTGAATTGGGCTTTGCTATGAGTTCCCCAGTGATGTCCCCGAAGGGACAGTGCCTTTCTTCCTGCATGCTGCACAAGTTATAGCAGCCTTGATCTCCAAAGCACTTCCAGGATTACTGTGTTGGTGGCTGCCTGGTGGCAGAGAAGTTCTCAGGAAAAGCCACAGTTGTGAGTGCCTGAAGAGCAGTGTCTGTGGATACAGTGAAGGGATTTGGAAATAGGAAAATTGTGCAGGCAGAGGTGGGAGAGAAAAACAGAGGGTACCAAGTGGTAGCTGACAGGACTTAACTGAACACACATGAGATACCCATAGGGATTCCCAGACATAAATGAGGGGGCTTTACCTCTACAAAAAGTTGGAGAACTATAATAAGAAATATCTTCAATTGTTAGGGAATCCCACAAGTGTTGCTGTTCTATGAGGGACTTCATTATAGGAACGTGAGCTAACTCCCACGCTCAGAGGACAGTCAGAGATGGTGATGACAATGACAGCAAGGGGAAAGTGGAGCATTTCCTCCCCTGACCCCATCAAAGATAATGCTCTTATGCCTGTGTATGGAGTGGAGAGGGGATGGAAACTTTGAGGCGTGGACACTTTGGGTAGTTGGAGAAGCTGATGGAATTTGTTCCTTAGAGTCAGGGCAGAAGACCCCCATTGCTGTGAATGCAGAGGGATGCATCTCACACTCATACCTGTGGAGTACACAACCCTTGTTATCCTCCTTCATTCTGGGTTGACCTATGAGTGCCCTGCACGATACTCATTTTCACAGCCTTACCTTCATAAAAAATAGCACGTATCATTTACTTCCTAGGGTACACATTTTAGAGCCTGCCTTATATCAACAGTGACTAAGCTAAATTCAGAGGCAGCTAATTGCATGACCTTGGGCAACTCACTTATACCAGTGCTACTCTCACATAAGAATCACTTGGAGATCTCCTTAAACTGTTAATGCCAACCAAGAGTTCTGGGGAAAAGCCTATCCTTGCACCATTTCTTTTAGGTACCCAGGCAATGCCTTTGCTGTTGCTGCTGCTGGTGGTGGACCACACTTTGAATAGCAAGGACCTAATCTCTTTGAGCTCAGTTTCCTCAATGGTAAAACAAAGATAATAATGTTTAAGTTATTATGAGTCAAAATTAAATTGAATAAGATGATGCACTTATCACAGTGCCTAGCAACTGTTTGGTGTTCTGTAATAGTATAAAATATGTTAATACCATGTTAGTTCCGTTTCATGGGAAAAACCACCAGGATATACCATTATCCTTTGATGCGTCTTTATATAAATATTCTGGAACAAATATTCTATTGCAAATTTTCTATCTTACATTTCCAAACATTGCACTATTTCCTTTAAGTGGTTATTTTTGTTGTTTATACAGCCTCTTCCAGTGCAATGAAAAATTATGATCAGTAATAGAATAATAATGTTATTTACTTTTGACATAATAGGGTATATTAATGTTCCTTGTATTCAGACCTCTGGACAAGCTGCAAAAGAAGTCAGGCCATTATTCTTCCCTGGTGGCCTTACCCCTATTCTGGTTTTGTTAGCATGCTAAAATGTTTATTTTGACTTACTTTCTAGAGTTACCTTTTAAGTGTGGAATAACTTAATTATGGATCCCTCAATACTAGTAACAAACTGCTATGAGATTTATGGGTTGTTTTAGACTGAAAGCAAAAACCATAATTGTGCATGTTCTTCCAAATAAGATGATGAAAAACTTTTGACTTTTGTTTATCTTAAAATAGGTTAAAACTTTCTTTAGTACCCATATTAAAGTTTTCCAAACTTGTTTCCCTTTTGAAATTTTATAAAGAAATAATTTTTTAAAAAATTTCAGCATATCTGTACATTTACATTTAATAGTTATTTGACTTATTTCAAGGGATTTTTTTCTTTAATTTCACATCAAATTTTATATATGAGGATAGGTGGAGTATGCCTGAGTAATAACTACTTTAAAATATATGTTTCTTTTAAATCTTGCTGGTATTAAGACAACTGGTGTCTACTTATTCTCCAGGATCTATAAAGCCATGTTCAAGGGTCTTTGTAGGTATAGAGGAAACAAGGAAAACCCCATATGACTCTTTCTCTAGCACTGCAAATCATACAGGTATGTGAAAATAAGGTGATTATTTTTGTAGCCCATAGATTCTCATCTTCCCTGTGGTGGCTTAAGAATTGTCACCATTGTATGTTTCCTAAGAAGTTTTTCATCATCATCTTAGAATGATGATTGCTGTCATTCACTGAATTCTCATCAGATAGTTTTCAGTGCTGGCTATACATTAGGATTACCTACGACCTTTAAAAATTACAACTGTCTGGGCCCTATCCCAGATTGATCAAGTCAGAATCACTGAGGCTTGGGCATTTGTATTTTTTTGTAAGTGTCTCAGGTGATTTTGGTGAACAACAAGGTTTGAAAAACACCCTAATTAGTAGAATCATGTTATTCAAAATTACACATGTTAATTACATATTAGTAAGATGAGATTCATTTTATTATGTAATCATGGTAACAGTTTTGCAAAATCAGCATATTTGGTCACTTTTAAAGCTTTAAGCTTAGAAAGATTAGTTAGCCCAATCAAGGTCACAAAGCCAGGACAAGTGGTAGATTCATGAATCCAAGTCTGTCTGATTCTCAAGTCCGTGCTAGTTCCACTAGGCCGTATTACAAGAAGACAAAAAAAGAAAAAAGGAATGAAAATGAAATGAAAATAAATGATAAAGCAGATATTACTGAATGGCATTATAACAATAGTACATATTGCCTGCCTTCCAGAAAATTTTATTGCAACTTAGGCCCAGGGATACCTAAAATAATCAACATTTAGGAAGAAAGGAACATATGAGATATCCAGAGAAGATGATTTTAGGCATGATAGTAATCATGAAAGATATGTTAAAAAATCAAAAAAGAATGATAGGTAGGACCGGGTGTGGCAGCTCATGTCTCTAATCCCAGCACTTTGGGAGGCCGAGGTGGGTGGGTCCCCTGAGTTCAGGAGTTTGAGACCAGCCTAGTCAACATGGCAAAACCCCGTCTTTACTAACAATTCAAAAATTAGCCAGGAGTAGTGGTGTACACCTGTAATCCCAGCTACTTGGGAGGCTGAGGCAGGAGAATCGCTTGAACCTGGGAGGCACAGGGTGCAGTGAGCCAAGATCGGGCCACTGCACTCCAGCCTGGGTGACAAAGCAAGACTTTGTCTCAAAAAAAAAAAAAAAAAAAAGAATGATAGGTAATAGCACCTTCTGATGCTATAGCAAATATAGTCAAACCCATCTGAAGTGGCTTAATATCCCAAAGTTTCCCAAGAAGACATCAAGATAATGAACGGTTGAAGGCAAACCCTAGCCTAGTCTATGTGTAACACAGGAAGATGGTGTAGTCTACACTAGAGGTCAAAATATCAAGAAAGTGAAAATGAACCATATTTAGCATTATGTTGGGAAGTCAACACCACTACACACATGTATTTAAAATTTGGCATTTCAAATGCCTGACTCTGAAGTTGTCCAATATTCAAAGAGCAAAGCTAGCTATTGCCTTTAGAAACAACACTTTTAAAGCTGATGCTTAGTTGACTTCACTGTGGTCTCATTTTTGGCCATAATTAATCTCATTTGATAAGCCAAGGACTGATTGATTCTTCTAATGGTTACCAAGTGAAATACATGAGAGCTTGAAATAATGCCGCTAGGATCATTTAAGCATGCTGTTGACACTAAATGAGTCTTCACCCAGTTACCAGGAAACTGATTTAAGACTAAGATTACATCTAGATGAACTCTAACAATTGAATTGCTATGAAAAGGACCCCACCAAGATCATTAAGTCAAACATTCTTTTTCTCTCCAACATCAGTTTCCTGGTTAAAAAAAAAAAAAAGAAGAAGAAAGAAAGAAAGAAAAAACAATCCACATTGACTAAAGCTGAACTAAGGTTAACATTTGTTGGACAACTATCAAGGACATAAATTTCTAAGAAGACTCATAAATATAATAATAGAAAAGATGACTGGCCAGGTGCAGTGGTTCACGCCTATAAAATCCCAGCACTTTGGGTGGCCGAGGCGGTCAGATCACGAGGTCAGGAGTTCAAGACCAGCCTGGCCAAAATAGTGAAATCCCCTCTCTACTAAAAATACAAAAATTGGCCAAGTGTGGTGGCATGCACCTGTAGTCTCAGCTACTCAGGAGGCTGAGGCAGGAGAATCGCTTGAACCAGGGAGGTAGAGGTTGCAGTGAGCCGAGACCACACCATTACCATTGCACTGCAGCCTGGGTGACAGAGAAAAAAAAATTGAACATATGTGAACTCCTTATAGACAGGAACCATATGTGTCCCATGAGATAAGCTATGAGAACTCCTGTATCATCAAATCAAGAGACTCAATATCTAATGACCAGGAATCCCAAAAAAGGACCAGAAAAATAGAAGACAGTAAATTATGTTTTAAAAATAGGAGAAAGCTTCCCAGAACAAAATAACATGAGATTCCAGCTAAATGAGTGGAAAATACCAACAGCCAAGCACATAACAACATGCATTATAGAATACCTGGGACAAAAAGAAGATCCTAAAGACTTTCAGAGAAAGGAATGAGCTATAAAGAAAGGAGAAAGTAGAAAATAAGCATGGCTTATTGTCCAGCAAAACTGATAGATGAAAGATGGCAAGGCAAGGCACTAAACATTGTCGGGAAAGTTTTAAACTTTAGTTAAATTATTTTATCTTAAAATATTTGATACTTCAACTATCAATCAAATATGTGGATACAAGTGAAATCATTTTCAGACATGGAAGTTTGCAAATTACTTACCTCCCATGCATTTTTTTTCTCAAGAGACTTTTAGTGGATATGCTTTACTAAAATGAAAGAATAATCCATGAAAAAGGAAAATATCAGAACCAGCAAAAGAGGAAATTCAACAATAGAGGGAAGGAAAGGCTGGGTGAGCTCACTCGCTCCCTTTGCTTTATAGGGTAGGGTTATAGCTGTCAGGGAGGTTGGGTTATGCTTCTATATAGACCATAGCTAATGCTCTGTGGCCTCCATTATTTATCTTGGTAGCACATTCCTTACCCTGAGAAACACTCAGTAGTTTGATAAACTATAAGAAACATCAATTTTGTCTAAATGGTCCATAAATAATGCAAGTCAACTCAACTTAAGGGCAGATGTACTTTAGAAACTGCTTGGTAGTGCAGTTAATCTGACTTTAACCTGGGAAACACCACCATTTCATATCCCTCAACCATTTACTGAAAGATAAAATGTTGTGGTGGTTTTTCTAAGGCAGTCTTGTCAAAATAGGGTTCAGAACTGATGAGCTTAGCATCACCTGGGACACTTATTAATAATATAGATGATCCAATACTTGTGTACTACCTTACGTACTTGTGATACAAGATGATCTGAGCTCATCTTGGATTTTTCCTGCCCCAATTTTAGAATCAGCCCCTTCTCCAAGTCATCTATATTTTAAAGAGAACATTTCAGGACCTCTACCATTGTAACAAATCAGCAGTGCATAGCTGGAGGTTTCAGAAGAGAGATCTGTTATAAACTCAGGCACCTGTGTTTCTCCTAAATTAGAAATTACAGTCCTGGATGAATCACTAACATTTACTTCAAATCCACTTCCAGAGCCCATCCCAATTACATGCCTCTACATGGAATGGTTACATTGTGGTGATGGAGGCCTTTTCCTGGGTCTGTGTTCCATCAGTTTTGAGGAGAGCATCCAAAATATTTCTGTCGTTCCACACCTCACCTGCATGGGCGGAGTGAGAATCTGATATTGTGGGCATATGTGTACTCCTGCCGCGCACACCTGCACCTGCAGAGATCCCACCTCATTTATATGGGTGAATGAAACCCAGGGCAGTTTGTGTCTATTATTTCACTATCATGGAGATTGGCACTGTAACTTAAAAACCTTGGCACTCTCAAGTGTGAATAGATTCATGTAACATTAGTCAGTCTCCTTTTTGTTTATAAATCATGATAGTATCTATTTCAATCTCTTCCACTTGCATACTGCCAAGACTTATTCAACTGATACGCGTTAGTCAGGCCGAGTACTAAATGAATTAACATTGTAGTAACTTTAGGACATTCAATGCGGTGTGTTTTATTTTAGATAAACAAACTTGCCTATAAACATCCCAAAGTTAAAACATGTTTTTAAAACTAAAATTTGCTAATTAGATGCTCTTTTGTCTGTAGGTAATTTCTTCTGAGTAAATATGCATTCATTGTATTTGAAAATATATGGGGTTGAAAATATTCATTCTCAGGTCCCCTTTTTGTTGGTTTTATCAGTACTTTATTTCATAGAGAAAAGAGATTTATATCTAGTTGCTTGTGTCTCAAATTTGGGGTGTCAAGTAACTTATTTATATTTTTAGCTGTGCCCTGAGTCTTCACTGTTGATGGCTGTTTGATAAATAACATCAAGAAGACCCATCCCTACTCTGCTGTCTTAAAGTATGTATGCAAAGGTGATTCCACAAGCTAGTAAGACTAGTAGATGTTCTTATGTGGCTCAGTAGGGGTTCTCATTTCTCAAAAACAAATTTTTAGAATGTGGTTACCATGTTTTGATGTTTAGAATACGATGTAAAGAGCTTTAATAGACTAACTTCCAGCATTCGGCTTGACATAAAATCACAGTAGTTCAAAGAACCTTCAAATCACGCTGTTGAACTATATTGTAATAAAAAAGGTGTCACAGTTGGGACCTGAGATTTTTCTGTGAGGGACCATGTCTTCCTGACCACACTGGTTTCAGCACAGAGTGGGGCTATTATTAACCAATCAACATAATTCTGATTCAGCCCCCACCGTCAGAAGAGGGGAAGCCTAGGCCAGGAGCAGCAACGGTGGCATATACCTGTAATCCCAGCACCTTGGGAGGCTGAGGCAGGAGGTTCACTTGAGCCCCAGGAGTTTAAGGCAGGCCTGGGAAACATGGTAAGACCATGTTTCTACCAAAAAAAAAAAAATTATAAGTTATCCAGGTGTGGTGGCACATGCCTGAAGTCCTAGCTACTCAGGTGGCTGAGGTGGAAGGATCATTTGAGCCCAGGAGTTCTAGGCTGCAGTGAGCTACGATGGTACCCCTCACTCCAGCCTGGATGACAGAGCAAGACCCCATTTCTTTAAAAAAAAAATAGGGAAACCTAACCCAACTCTAATTCTTCCTCATGGGTCCCAGAATGCCCTAAGCTGGGTTGCTTGTCATCCTAATATTATTCTCACAATCACCAGTCAATAGTCTTCTCTTTTTCCACTCTTGAAATGAATGTCTTAGATTTCTGCTTTCACAACCTGCATTTCTTCTCCCCTGGGAGAGCCTTCTTCTGTTTCTGGCCTGGGTTGTTTGTATACCCAGACCTTGCTCCCTAGATGCCCCCGCCCCTCCCTTCTCACTGTTGTTTTGTCAAGATACTCTTTGGCTGCTAATATTGGCTCTGTGATGTAGAGCCCAATCTGGACATTGTCTTTATAGGTCTTATTTTGGGATATTCATCAATTTGTTCAACAAATATTTATTGAGACACTACTATGAGCAAGCCATTGTTCTAGGGGTCTAAATATTCAGCATAGAAAAGAAAAGCATGAAACCTGTTTCATGGATATTACGTTCTCGTAGGAAGTAAGCAATAAGTAAATAAACACACCGTTATGATTTAGGTAATAATAAATATTTTGAATAAAACTAAAGCAATAGAGACTATCTGGTGTGGGAGAGTAAAAGTGGGAAATTATTTTGGATAAGGTGAATCAGGAAAGGCCTCTATAAGGACGTAACATTTAAGCAGAAACTTGGATGAAATGAGGAAGGAAGCCAGGTGCATATCTAGGGCAGAGCCTGCCAGACAGCAGGGAAAGCCAGTGCAGAGGCCCAGAGGCTGTGGTAGGTTTGGTTTGCTAGAGAAACAGCAAGAAGGTCACAGTAGCTGGAGCAGAAAGGGGGAGACAGAGCAGGAGGAGATGGAGTTGGTGAGGAAGGAGAGCACTTTGTGTAGGCTTTTGTTCCCTTGGCAGAATTTCAGCCTTATTTGGAGAACAGTGGAAATCGGCCAGAGGATTCTGAAGAGTGGAATAATGTGGTCTTCATAGAGCCAGTTGTGGCTTGAAGCCTTCTGTCACTTCTCATTATAACCATCCATTCTACCATTATTTCTTCCAGTATGATCCAATAATCCTTTTAGTGAAGGGAGGATAAAAAATCCTTTATACTTATTTTGTTACAATAGCACATAAGGAGCATCCCCTTACACTCCAATGTTTTGCAGCAATTTTTACATACAGTCCTACCTGTTATAGGCCCTCTCCCTAAGTCCTTGGGTCAGAGGTTGTGAGATTTTGGAAAAAAAGAGTAACAGATATTCTTCTGTTCTCAAAATTCTCCTTTTAATCTCACTAGTTGTTTATTGTCCCTGGAATAATGTTTCCCAGTGAGTCCCCTTCTGTTTCCAGGGTCAGGGTTCTCCTCACCCATGCTGTTCCCTGGCAACCTTTCCGAAAAAATTCTTGGGCAGGCCCATCCTTCTTGTCTTCGAGATAGAGGAGCTTATGCCAAGACTCTGGCATCCTTTCATAATACATGTTCAGTGTCAACCCTATTTGCTGTGGCCTTGGAAAAGTCTTGGTCTCTGGATTGGTGAGTCTTGACATCAGTTTATTATTGGCACCTAGGGATTCTCCTGTATCCTCTACGTGACTCCCTCCAACATTTCAAAAGACAGTATTCTGAAATGTCTTGGAGAATAAACCAAATTGTCAAATTGTCTTTCTTTGGAGATTTTACCTTCAGTTTCTTACCTTCAAGTCTTCAAAGAAGATGAAGATTTTGGAGCAATATGATACTTTACATATTATTATACTTTTATTTAATATCTGTTTTTCACCCAGTCATTGTTCATTAAGCAAGTATTTATTAAAGTGACTCTGTACTGAGGAATGTGGTGAAGAATGAGGTGCAAATGTAAGCTGAGAAGTCAGGGATGAGAGCGTGTCTGCGAATGTAAGCTGAGAAGTCAGAGACGAGAGAGTGCCTGATAAACACATGGACTCATCCAGGTTAATTGCACCACTGAGGATCTGTGCCCATCTGTAGTTTTTGCTGTTATTGTATTGCTTTTGCAAAGAAAAACCTGTTGATAATGACTTAGGCAATAAAACCTTCTACCACTCTGTAGAAATACAAAGAATAAAATGGTTCTCATATTTGATCAGCAGCATCTTTAGGTATGATTAATCCGTCAGCCTGAAGAGTTAAGATAGAAAGTGATGCTTTTGCTTTTTACAAGGAGACCAACATGCCATTCTACTAAGGTGCTCAAATGTTTTCTGTTTTTCCAAAGAAAGGTTTTCTGCTAAACAGATCCCTGACTTAGCTCTACTCTCCAACAGTTTTCAATTTTATAACTTTCTACTTGTTCTTCCTTGAGGGTATTTTTTTATACAAATGTTTGATATGTGTGTTCCATTATCAATAGCCTTTTCGTTGTTCAAGGAGTTAGTTCCTTCTCCAGTTTTTATATCATTTCAAAGTTTCCCTCTTTTCCTTTGTTTATAAAGTAAAGAATATCCAAGTAAATCTTATTTTCTTCTCCATAATGCTATCCTCTGCTATAGTGCATACTGAATTCTGCTTCTGCACAAACAGAATATAATAATATATCCCTGCCTTCCCTCCGCATTAAATAAGTGGATATTGTGACCACGGATACTGGTCATAATTTAATTTGAAAAATACTAATTGTTCAAACTTACTTGAAATAACACAACCAACAATCCTGCATTTTCTTTAATGATCAGGCCTTTGCATTAGAGAGAATGAGACACTCCAGAGGGGAGACTTGCCTGGACCTGCGTGGAGCTGCTCTGGCAGTATAGGGAAGATACCCCTGCTACAGGCAGTTCATTGCTACCGCCTTCATCAGACAACACATGGACGGCAAGATCTTAAAAACATGTTTTTACTGTTTTGAACTAATTTCATTCTGGAAAACTCTTATTGCTGCTTTAAATTTTTTTTTTTAATTGTCCTATGACTGCTTTGAAATTGCTCCTTTCTGGTCCTCTCCCTTCTGCTTTCATCACTTGCTCATGGCTTTAGGGACATTTACATTTTGGACAATTATTTAATTCCATTTTCAAATCAGGTTTCTGAGTGCTGCATTTTTACTCCATTGTTATGTTTTGTTTTGTTTTGTTTTAACCTGTTGCCAGAGGTGCCACATGGGACTGGAACACACCTTCTGCCAGACACAATCCTGAATTCATTAACTTGCCATTTCCTTTGCTCTTGATGGGACCTGACAGACAAGCACCTCCATTAAAGGAATATTTACCCAACACCAACATCTGCCAAGAAAAACAGAAGGAAACACAGAAAGGCAAAGAAGTGGGTGGGGGGACGCATGTGTTTAGAGATTGGAAGAGCTTTTAATGAAAGTTATTGTTTGGGAGTCTGGAATCATGATTCCTGCTTTTGCCAGAAGTGTCTCGTCAGCGACCTAAGATCGAATATCTGAGCTAAGGGGAAAACCTTGAACTCCTCAATTCCGAGACAACATGGCTTAAAATCAGGACAGACTTCTGACAGGGAAATTAACATTGTGATCTCAGCGGGAGTCTCTGTAGGGTGGTAGCCCACTGGACTACAACATAATCTCTGGTAATTAAACACATTTGGCCTCTTTCGTGTGTGGGAGAAGTCACGGATGAGCAAATCGGAGGATTTGATTTTATGCTGGAAGGAGGGTGGTCTTGCTAAGTCGGGGTCAGCTATCGGGCAAGAAGGCCAGGGCAGAGCCTGTAGTTTGGCTGACTGACATAACCCCTGGGTAATCAGAAAACTGAAATCATGCCTTGACATTCTCATCATCTCACAGTCCCAGAATACGCAGGGAGAGGGGAATGAAGGTGCAGTTATCAGCCTGGGCTTATGTACAGCAGAGGCCAGCCTCGTTTCTCTCTACCCACTGGGTTTCTTCCCAGTGGCTCCTTCTGCCGCAAAACCAACAAACAAAATACAGACAATTTTTCTCTTTCTCCTTGTCTCTAACACTCTGAAAGAAAAAAAGACTTTCAGTGAGTGAGGGAAAGTACAGAAAGTAAGAGTGATATCTTTCTTTCATTCCATTCTATAACATAGATGATGTGACCTTGGCTTCACCTTTCCGAATAATCCACAGTCAGCCATGGGAATAAGAAGCAAGTTATATGAGTCACACCTTTTAGAAACATTGTGTGTCACAGCTAATTGTTGTCCTCTGTCATGAAGAACTATCCAGAGGCCTCAACTCAGGAAAATTTCCGTTTGGGCCAGGACTAACTACAATTCCTCTACTGTCTTTCCAGAACCCCTTGTCCTCCACACTCTTCTGCAGGGACCAGGAGAGCCAGTGAGGAGGGTCACTGGACTGCTGGAGACTCAAAGCTCAGAGGAAGAGAACCAATAGAAGGGCTCATCACAGAAGCCTGAGCCTCTCTTTCTTCTCCCCTATGATTTAGGCTCCTATACACAATGGTGTTCTAAGCCCGATAATGTTGAGGGCTTCTCCCCTGGGTCTTAGACCTTGTTTCACAAGACCCTAACTCTCCATGCTGTACAACTGCAATTCCCTGGAATGTTAAGTGGTATCTCATGAACAAGCGTTTCATAGTCAAACAAGTCCTTCTTCACTGAAGGACTTTTCTAAATCTTTGTGATGCTAACATGCAATGCAAAACTGAATTCCTCAGTAGGTAGCATTTCCAGAATATATTTGACCATGAAATAGTACTGTCATGATAACCCCAAATCTGCCAGGACTAGAGCTATGAGAAACATGTATAAGAAAGCAATTATGAGAACTCCTGTCTGCTCTCTAAAAATACAATATTATGATCAGAGGAAGTTATAGCTCTGTTGGATTTGAACAATTACAGTGAATGTGAACTATTACAGCCAGATCTTCACATTTTAGTTCAAAGGATATGCTCTGAATTCCCTGACTATATGTGGTCCCTTAATTATATACTCTGTTGGCATGGCTGAATAATATAGTTTGCTATCTATTGATATACAGTATATACCTGAAGCATGCTAATTGTTTAATTAATGTCATGACTTGCATCAGAGCTCTGTCCTCAATCTTTTTCTTTTCAGTGTTTTCATCAGTGGCTTTAATGAAGTGGTAGAATGCATGATTACCAGATATACTGAGGACCCAAAACCAAGGCAGATAAAAATTTTGTTGGATGACTGATATGGTTTGGCTGTGTCCCCGCCCAAACCTCACCTTGAACTGTAATAAACCCCACTTGTCAAGGGCAGGGCCAGGTGGAGATAATTGAATCATGGGGTCAGTTTCCCCCATACTGTTCTCATGGTAGTGAATAATTCTCACAAGATCTGATGGTTTTATAAATGGGAGTTCCTCTACACAAGCTATCTCCTGCCTGCCGCCATGTAAAGCATCTCTTTGCGCTTCCTTCATGTTCCGCCATGATTGTGAGGCTTCCCCAGCCATATGGAACTGAGTCCATTAAACCTCTTTCCTTTATAAATTACCCATTCTCAGGTATGACTTTATTAGCAGCATGAGAATGGACTAATACAATGACAAAGTGTGGTCTCAACAGACATTGGAGACTGATAGATCAAATCCATTAAGCTAAAATATAGTAAGGGGAAATTTAAAGTCCTTTCCTAAAGCCCTCAAGCTATAAGCTGAAGATGAAGAAGATATGACCAACTAGCTCATATGAAAAATATTGAGTGTCTTTAATTGACTACAAGTTCAATATGGGATAATGACGAAGGGCTTGAAGCCACATGAAGGTTAGAGAAAGTGTGTGAAATACACAGTTTGAGGTAAGTTGAAGACCATTTGCATAATGTTTAAAAATCTGTAAAAAGGAGCACAGACTTGAGTGAGGTTATGTCCATAAACACCCCATCCCCTGTGAGTGAGCAAGCGAGTATGTGCAAGAATGTGAATGGGTGTCACACCCTACACTCCCCTGTGCAATAAGTGCAGCATGACTCACTGGAATTGTAATTCAGAAATTGTTATATGTTTAAAAAATATTCATAACATTATCTTCCAAATTCTTATAATTCTGGTTCATGGACAAGTCCCAACACTGTCCTTGGCTAACTATGCCTCTGTAACTGGTCCTTACCATTCTGTTTCTATGGGCAAGATGTTTACTAAGATCTTACAGCTGCGTTTGTATGACTGTCACTTCTTCCTGGCTTGCATTTGTGTGTGTGTGTGTTTGTGTGTACATTAAAGTTGGTGTTTCACTGGAATTATAGTTAGATTATACTCACAAGCGAAAGCAATCATTTTGTCTCCGCCTTCATCAGCATTACTCGTTGGAGAACTAAAATGCTAGTAATGATAAAAATGAACATTCGTGGAGTGCTTAGGATGTGCTAAGCATTGTTGTAATTGTTTAACATAGATTATGTCATTTAATTTTCACAAGAACAGTATGAAATAGTTATTAGTACTCTCTCTCTTTTGCTGCTAAGCAAACTGAGATATGGAGGTTAAGAATCTTACCCTCAGTCACACATCTAGTAAATAGTAGTCAGGATTTGAGTTCAGGTATTTGTCTTGAGAGCCTGTGCTCTTATAACCACTATGCTCTATCTTTGCCTCATGTCCAGCTTCTTTCTTAGAAAATTCCCATGTACTTCTTCCTGGTTGCACCTATTTAATTCTCATCTGATTCCTGAAAACACAAGATTTGTCTACTGGCGGAAATACAAAACCTTAATTTCAATTCTTTGAACGCAACTAAGGAACTCTATTATCTTATACTACACTGGTTAACTATATAACTATAGTTACTCCTAGTCAATATTGCTTGCATACACAATCTAGCCAGGAAGATGATTTTTTCATATCTGATCCCTTACTAAAGTGTTAACATCTGCTTAAAACAGGCTGATTATTCCAACCAAAACACTTAAGAAATCATCAAAATGTATCTCCCTAAGGACATTCTCTTTGACTGATTTGGATCCATTTACACCATACCATCTTTGACTTCCAAATACCTCTCTCTGATTCTTATTAATGATAAAATATACATAGATAATTCATTTTTATTATACCCATTTTGTTTATATTATTTTTAATAGATTGTGAATTGCTGATGATAGAGTTTCTGGAATTTATTAATTTAAAGTAACACAGATTCAAGATAATGTTAATAGAACAGACATTGAGATAACTTACAGGAAATACCTGGCATAAAAAG
Organism: Homo sapiens; assembly: GCF_000001405.40. Taxonomy (NCBI): domain Eukaryota; kingdom Metazoa; phylum Chordata; class Mammalia; order Primates; family Hominidae; genus Homo; species Homo sapiens. Next base: position 28,942,658 of record NC_000012.12, read on the forward strand.
CAAAAAAAAACAAAAGGTTTATTGTCAGAATTTTGCCTACTTGCAAGGGTATCTTAATTTCCCATTTGCTTACCTATTTTCAACAGAATTATATATATTATGTTAAAATTCTGGACAAAAGTTGACTAAGTTGTCTGTGTGTGTGTGTGTATGCACATGCACTTGAGTGTGTGTGTGTGCATGTGGGGGGTGAGGGAAGAAATAATTTTTATAGCGGAAAAGGTATTTATTTTAAAGACTTCTTTAGGTCTTTTTTTCTTTTTTGAGGGAATCATAAATATAATTTTTCACTAAGCTTTTTCATGAACCACAAATATTCAACATTGTACTTAAATAACCTAGTAAATTATCTTGAGTCTCTCAAAAGACTCCCTGAAGTCACCATTTTTTGAGTAGTCTGCTTTCATAGGTTTGTTAGGAGGACTATGTCTTAATATATAAAAGTGTTTATATCTGTGCCTGACAAATAGTAAGATCTAAATAAGTGTAATACACACACGAGATGAGTGTGTTGTATAGAACAATTATTATTTCTCCACAAACAACTAATTACCCCTGGCATGGCATAACCATTTCCTATATATACAGGAATCTGTATGTAACTCCTCTATCCTGCCTTTTATTTCTGTACAAATATCACAATATTTTAATTTATCCATCTATCTATATGATTCTTTATAAATGTCATGTTACCTGGTAAGGCAAATTCTTACTCATTTCCTTCAAAATTACTTTGATTTTTCTTCATTCTTGACTTCCTTATGAATTTTAGGACAGTGTGTCTTTAAATGTATAAGATGATGTCAAATCATTTTCAATCATGGTTGTAAAAATGCATGCTTCCAAGAACAGGGGAAGAGAGTTTCCCCTGATCCACATCCTCCCCTACTTGATTTTATGGAGAACTTTTAAAATTAAGTCTTATTGAGGCATATAAGCAATAAAATGTACCCACTTTAGAGTCTAGTAAGTTTGATGAAATCATACATCTTTGTTTTTTTTATTTATTTTTTTAACTTTTATTTTAAGGTTGGGGTACATGTACAGATTTGTTATATAGATAACCTGTGTCATGGGGGTTTATTGTACAGATTATTTCTACACCCAAGTATTAAACCTAGTATTCATTAGTTATCTTTTCTGATCCTCTCCCACCTCCTGCCCTCCACCCTCTGATAGGCCCCAGTGTGTGTTGTTTCCCTCTATGTGTCCATGTGTTCTCATCATTTAGCTCCCACTCATAAGTGAGAACATTGCAATGTTTGGTTTTCTGTTCTTGCATTAGTTTGCTGAGGATAATGGCCTCCTGCTCCATCCATGTCCCTGCAAAGGACATGATCTCATTCTTTTTATGGCTGCATAGTATTCCATGGTGTATATGTACCACATTTTCTTTATCCAGTCTACCACTGATGGGAATTTAGTTGATTCCACGCCTTTGCTATTGTGAACAGTGCTGCAATGAACATTCACGTTTATGTATCTTTATGGTAGAATGATTTATATTCCTTTGAGTAATGGGATTGCTGGGTCAAATGGTATTTCTGTTTTTAGGTCTTTGAGGAACCACCGCAGTGTCTTCCACAATGGTTGTACTAATTTACAATCTCACCAACAGTGTATAAGTGTTCCTTTTCTTCTGCAACCTTACCAGTGTCTGTTATTTTTTGACTTTTTAGTAATAGCCATTCTGACTGGCGTGAGATGGTATCTCACTGTGGTTTTGATCTGCATTTCTCTAATGATCAGTGATGTTGAGCTTTTTCTCATGTGCTTATTGGCCACATCTATGTCTTCTTTTGAAAAGTATCTGTTCATGTCCTTTGTCTACTTTTTAATGGGGTTGGTTTTTGCTTGATAATTTGTTTATTTATAGATGCTGGATATTAGACCTTTGTCAGATGTATAGTTCACAAAAATTTTTTCCTATTCTGTAGGCTGTCTGTTTACTCTGTTGATAGATTCCTTTGTTGTGCAGAAGCTCTTTAGTTTAATTAGATCCCATCTGTCAAGTTTTGTTCTTGTGATTGCTTTTGACATCTTCATCATGAAATCTTAGCCCATTCCTAAGTCCAGAATGATGTTGCCTAGGTTGTCTTCTGGAGTTTTTATAGCTTTAGGTTTTACACTTAAGTCTTTAATAAATCTTTAGTTAATTTTTGTAGATAGTATAAGGAAGGGGTCTAGTTTCAATCTTCTGCATATGGCTGGCCTGTTCTCTCAGGTCCATTTATTGAATAGGAAATCCTTTCCCCATTGCTTTTTTTTGGTCAGGTTTGTTGAAAATCAGGTAGTTGTATTTGTGTGGTCTTAGTTCTGGGTTCTCTATTCTGTTCCATTCATCTATGTGTCTGTTTTTGTACCAGTACCATGCTATTTTAGTTACTGTAGCCCTTGTGGTATAGTTTGAAGTCAGATAGAATGATGCCTCCAGCTTTGTTCATTTTGCTTAGGATTGCCTTGGCTAGTCAGGCTCTTTTTTGGTTCCATATAATAAAAATTTTAAAATAGTTTTTCCTAGTTCTGTGAAGAATGTCAATGGTAGTTTAATAGGAATAGCACTGAATCTATAAATTGCTTTGGACTCTATGGCCATTTTAACAACATTGATTTTTCCTATCCAATATCATGAAATGTTTTGCGTTTGTGTTTGTCATTTCTGATTTCTTTTGAGCAGTGTTTTGTAGTTCTCCTTGTAGAGATCTTTCACCTCCATGGTTAGCTGTATTCCTAGCTATTTTTGTTCTTTTTGTGGCTATTGTGAATGCGACTGCGTTCATTATTTGGCTCTTGGCTTGACTGTTGTTGATGTGTAGGAATGTTAGTGATTTTTGCACATTGATTGACAAAATCGTACATCTTTGTAAAGAGTAGTACAATTAATTTACAAAAACTTCCATCACTTTCAAAGGTTTTTTGGTGCCCTTTTCCAGTAAATTGACACCCCAACACTGGCTGCAGGCCACCACTGATCTCTCTGTCACTATGCATTATGTTCATTTTTCCTAGAGTTTCATATAAATGGAAATCTAGAGTAAGTACTCTGTAGCCTTCTTTTACTCAGCGTAATATTTTTTGGATCATACATGCTGTTGTGTGTTAATAGTTTGTTCACATTACTGAGTAGCAATTTGCTTATCCATTTACTTGCTGATAAGTATATTTTTAGTTTTCCTGTTAGAGGCCATTATGAACAAAGCTACTGTGAACATTCATGCACAAATCTTTCTGCAGACTTGTTTTCAGCCTACCCATGAAATAGTACGCAGCTTAAAGCTTGGAAGGGGGTATTATTTTATGCCTGCAGAGAGAGAGAGAGAGAGGACACAGAACATGATGGAATTCCTCTTCTAAATGGAAAACCTCAAAACACAACCAGAGAAACTTGCAAATGTATCTTTAAACTATTAGCTTATTCCTCTAAGATGAAAATAGCTCATTTCAATTTCTTTAAAAAAGCCCCCAAGTTTTAGTTTCATAAATTCATGTTCCCATTCTGCTGAGCCAACTCTTCATGGTTCTACAGGAACTCATCTATGCTGAAGAAGCACACCATTGTACTCCAGCTGACTCCGAGATGCTCCATCCCACCTCAGGGAATCTGTCCCTTATCTCAGGACATTGCAACTTCTAAAGTGATTGAAGCTCACTCTGCCTGACCCCTCTGCTCCAGGGTCACACTTATTCCCTAACCATCAAATTCTTTGTGAAAAAAGAGGAAAGTATTCCAGCAACAATTCCGTCTCCTCGTTTTCTCACTTATGGCCCCACCCCCTAAAGAAGAGACACAAGCATTCATGGTTCAATCCTTTTAGGTTTTGTCCTGTGGTATCTGCCTGCCCAAAGAAAGGACACATTCTTCTCTGCTCTTCAGACCAAGATAATTAGGTCTTGGTCTTGATCCAAAGCTGCCTCCAAAGACACGTCTGAGAACCTGTGCCTCGTTTCCCGCTTTAGTCCCTAGGGATTGCAAGGAACAAATAACTAACTCTGCAGGCTGAAATCGTCACTTGAATGGGTCAGTCCAAAGTCTTGACTTGGAATTGAGAAAGAAGAAATGAGGAAGCCCAGCCATTGGACACAAGCAGCTGATTGAACTTCCTCGGTCAAAAAGCTAACATTTTGTTCTCTAGCTGTTTGATTTATAAGCCTTATTCCTCAACTGAGGCAGAAACTTTAAGATTATCAGTCTTAAATCATAAGTTCTGCTTCCACTCTTGCATCGCTCACTTCTTTTTCCAACTTTCACCCAGTAGTCTGTTGGAAATGCAACTTTTATGTTACTCTACCTACTTAAAGCGTTTCTGTTGCTTTATGTATCAATGTCTAATGCCTTAGTATACCATACCTGCTTTCCTCTGCAACCTCATTTCTCATAACTTTCCCAATTATACTCTTTATTCCTCAGTCATAACAGTTCTGATAGAGCCTAATCTCTTAATTCTGTATTTTTACACAATTATGGAAAGTTATTACTCTTGAGCCACAGAAAACCTTGAAAATCCTTTTGAATTATTCAAGAAATGGCCAGTAATTATTGGCAGAGAATAATGCACTTTTTGTTTATATTTGACAATTTGTTATTTGAGTATGATATATATGAATAACTGTTTAAAACATTTTATTATAAGCAATACATGTTTGTTGTAAAATTTCAAACAGTTCAGAATCATAAAAAATAAAACCTCTTCACCCTTCACCTACCCTCCAAATTCTACTCCCTAAAAGAAATATGTATATCTTCAGATGTTTTTTATGCCTGTATAAACATTTAGAATACATATACTGTATTCAAACTTTTTACCGAATGAAACCATATTTTCATGCTGTTTTGCAACTTACAAGATAGATAGACAGATAGACAGATAATAGATAGATGTACATACATAAACTCCCCTATTTTGTATGTATTAGTCATGCGTGTGTGCAAATACAGTATATAAATTCCTAACATCTACATATTTCATAGTGAGGACATGACATTATTTGTCATTAACCATACAGATGCTTAAATATTTGCTTGTTTATTTGGGCTTTGGTTTTAGATCCAAGCTAAGATGCTACTGCTGTCAATCAGTGACTTCGTTTAGTTTTTATTACAATGTCAGAAGTCTGTTTGTAACATACATCTTAAATAGCAAAACAGATGTATAACTTAATCAGGTAAGAAAACCCTCACTAGTATAAATTCCTGTATAAGAAAAGAGACATTGAGTGAAAGTCTGGAAAGATCATGAAGGTGTAGGGGAGAAAGATTCAAGGAAGGAATCTGGAGTCCCAAAGCTGAACCTAAGTGTTCCCAAGTAATAGCTCCATCAATCTGCTGACAGGCTGCCTAGCTAGTTCGCAGGAGAAGAGCTGAAACCAGCCCACAGCCTGTGCATGCTCTTTGTAAAGTGCAGTTTTAGGAATGTAAAAGGATGGTTTGAAGGCCTGTAGTTTCTTGTTTTTGCCATCTCCCTTCCTGGCTTTTGTAAACACAAATGTTCTTAGCATGGAGAATGTACTGGGTTTTCTAGTTCATTGATGGAGCCTGATGAAGAGTTCTTCCCTTGTTAGAACTCTGCATTAAATCACTGCCAACCCAAATCAGCAATGGTGTCCCACGACACAGAGACAATCATTGTCATAATAATAATTAGCAGTCCCATGCACTATTGGAAATATTTTACATGTATCAATTTATGTAATCACTACAAGAACTCTATGAAGTAGGCATTATTATTATCCCAGTTTTATAGATAAGAAACTGAAAAGAAAGATTAAGTGATTTGCCCAAGGTCACATGGCTAGTAATGCAGAGCTGGAAGTCAAAGCCAAAGAGTCTGTCCTCAGAGCCCAAGCACCCCACCACTCTGCTTTCTTGTGTCTCAGTACACTGAAGTGCTTACTAAGTGCTGCAGATTCCTGGAGAGCTAGGAATTTCTGCCCTACCAATAACTTTCCATAATATTCAGTTTGCGTTGCAGGTAAAAATATACTTTCCCCTCTGCCACGGCTATCACTTTTCAATGGACACCACCTATTTCCTTTTCCCTTCAATGAACATCTGTTTCACAGCATCTAGGTGACCTGGTTAGAATATTCCAACTGGAGAGAGGTGGGTGGTGTTACAATGAATTCAAGCCAAGGCAAACCTTAAAACCCAGCAGCCCTAATGCTCTTCCACACAGTGCACAATTTTGTTTGGTGGACCAGTTCTGATTTAGCCATCCAAGTAACTTGTCACTGCCTGGTTTACATAAGAGAGTGTACTGTGTGTGAGCGTGCATATGCATAAAACTAAGTTTCTTTCCACCTTCATATCCCAGGCCAAATGGCTCCAGGGATATAACTTAAAAGTATTGTATGTGGAAACAATTCTATGTACTTTCCTATCACACATTTTCTGTGTAGAAAGGGATTCTTTTCTATTAATAATTGCTAGTAGAAGCATTACTTTAATTTTATATAATGAAGACAATTTATTACTTTTCAACTTTGAAGCAGTTAACTGATATAAATTGATTTTCAAAATCATAAAGTCATTTTGAATTTTTAAGTAGGGTAGAAATTCAAAGTAACTACAAAAACTCTGCCCTTTCTGTTAGACACAATCTGTACCTTCATTCCTTCACTCCTGCTTCTGAGCAATAAGTTTCTGTGTTCTATCTGTGAAATCCATAATGAATGTTTATGTCTTAATTTGCATTCATTCATTTCCATTCATTATTCATCTATGTAGTCAAACAAGGCCCTGAGAGGCTACTCTAAGACACTGTGCCAGCTGCTGGAATATAATTATGACACCACTTTGGAGAATCTTCTAGCCTAAAAGCTGAAACACGTACACCAATGGTGACCATGTGGTATGAGTACCATAGCAGAACTAGACACAATGTCTTTGAATCACTGACAAGTCATTTCAGAGGGGTAGGCAACCAATGGGCAGAGAAGGGAAAGTAAGTACAGATTGACTCACAGAGAGGGTGATAATTGAATTGTTTCAAAGATGAACAGAAAGGTGTCACATGAAGAAGGGTGGGAAAGTATTATGAGCAGAGGACATAGCATATGTAAAGAAAGGAAAAAATGATGCACCGTGGCCCATTCTGAAAGGTGGGTGGTGGGGTATGCCTGGAGCAAATCTAAGGCTGTTGGGCAGTGTTAGGAGATAAGGCATGAAAAATGGTATGAGGCCAGATTGTAATAGACTTTATATTCAATGACAAGGAGTTTGGATTTCATTCTGTAAGTTCGAAGGAGCTTTATATGTGAAAAGGAGAGAGTGAGAGGAAGAGAGAAACCAAAATTAAGTAAGCAATTGGCTGGGAAAAGGTAGATGGTGCTTTCTTTCTTATAGAAAACTAAAAGACAAACTGGAAAATATAATAATCATTGGAAATTATTTTTTTCTTTTCAATTTGAATTGTTTTAAATTAAGAAGCTTCTCCATGAGATATCTTTTAATTACTAAAGACATATTTTCTCTGGAGTCTGAAACAGGAAGCTGAGTGGCCTTCTCTGACTCTAATAATATTATTATTATTTCTTTGTTTCAGCACATTCTGTCCCATTGTCCAAAAACCTCAAGAGTAATTCATAACTAAATTTCTCTGCTCTGAGGTATTGCAGCTAAACAACAACAAACTGCCTTTCCAGATCCCTTAGGTAATGTGTTTAGCATTTTGTATGTGAGAATATACTGAAACATTGTCCAAAGTCAAATACAGGGCATGTGTTGGTACATGAGACAGAAAAGTTAGGGACAAGCAGAATAAAAAATCAGGAACAAAATGATAAAACCCAGGAATTTCTGGGGGAAAATAAGAATCATTTTTTAATTTTAAAATGGTTTTACTACATACAGTAAAAGACACATAATATAAAATTTATCATTTTAACCATTTTTAAGAGTACAGTCCTGAAAGCATTAAGTACATTCACATTGTTATATCACCATTATCACCATGTAGCTCCAGAACTAGTTCATCTTCCCCACATGAAACTGTGCTCATTAAACACTAACTCCCCATTCCTCCCTGCCTGCAGCCACTGACAACCACCATTCTACTCTCTGTGTCTATGAATTTGACTTCTCTAGGAACCTCATATAAGTGGAATCAGACAATGTTTGTCTTTTGTGTCTGGCTTATTTTACTTAGAGTAATGTCTTCAAGATTCATCCTGTTGTGGTATGTGTCAAATTATCTTCCTATTTAAGGCTGAATAATATTCCATTGTATGTATAAACCACATCGTGTTTACCCATTTATCTGCTGATGGACACTTGAGTTGCCTTCACATTTTGTCTATCATGAATGATACCGTTATGAAAATAAGTGTATCAATATCTGTTCTCGTCTAAGAAATTCTTCATCAGCATTGTGAGGAGGAAGTTGAAATAATATGCTGGTTAAAGAAGATGTGGGTAACATTAGATAAAATGTAATAGTTTAATATTACAATCCTTGCAGCAACTCACTCAGTTATAAAAAGAGAAAATGAGACCATTTTCTTTAAGCAAGGCCAATATCATTTTGTTGAATATAAAGATAAAAATGAATATAAACAAAGTATAGTGAACCAAAGTAGAGGGAGAAATTATGAGTAGAGAAATCAGGAAATGCTTCATCATGGTGGTGGCTTTTCAGCCACATTCGACCTTTCTCTGCTGACTGCCTCTTGGATGGGAGTAGCCTTGGTGCAGTGGCTTTTGGAGGGTCAGAAAGAAGTTTCCCAGCGTGTTCGCTAAACTCTGCTTTGTTTCACCAAATTCAGCCTCCAGAGAGCACCAATTTTTCATTATGTGTCTACACATGAAGGGGTGCCATAGAAAATGAATCTCCATTTTCTCCAACCTGTTCTCTCGGCTCTCCCAATTTCATTTAGAATACATAATTCCATTAAACAATTCCTGCTAGGGAATACCAACTCATATAAGTGAGTGCAAATGAAGTGAGCTCATATGAGTGAGCTTCTTACCCCAGAGTTTTATGCCTGCTTTCCAGCAAAGTAACTTTTAGATGCAACTTTACCTCCGTGTAAAGTTGGTAAGTGAGAACTGACAAATGCCTATAAAGGGTGCATGGAGACTTTTTGCAAATTAAAAAGTTCTAAATGGCTCCAACTTAAATAGGCTCCAAGCAGAAATGGAACCTTCCAGAGGTGTTTGAAATGGCAACTTTCTAATGCAATAGCAGCAGGCAGTAATGGAAAATCCTGCTTTGGCAGAAAAGAAGAAATAAGTTTCATCGTTAAAGGTGTGGCAAAAAGGTTTTGTAAATTAAAGCATAAATCAGTCAACTTTTATTTTAATTAACTTAGCCAAAAACACTTCTATGAAAAAACTTTGTTAGAGTTTAGAATTAACTATAAATCACTCACTGATTTAATGATATGCATGCAGAAAAGTGCAGAAATCATAAGCATTCAGCTCAGTGTACATTCATAGGTGAACACGCCCTTGTAACCTCTATCCAAATCCTGAAAGAAAACATGACCAGCACTCCAGAGGACTTTGCTCCCTTCTGCCTCATCCCCCAAAGTAACCACTTCTCTTTCTCTTTTTCCCTCTCTGTGTGTGTCCATTTCCCAATATCCAATATTGAAAAAAAAATTCTATTCCCCATCACACTTCATTGTCACCTCTGCTATTAATCTAATGAGTGAATCTTTTTCTAGACTCTATTCCATTGGTCAATATACTTATCCTTGCACTAATACGACACTGTCGTAGTTACTATAGTTCTATAATCGGTCTAGCTACCTAGTAATATAATTTCTTCACATTTGCTCTTTTTCTTCTTCAAGATTATCACGGCTATTATTCTGGGTTCTTTGCATTTCCATACTAATTTAAAAACCATTTTATTGATGTTCATAACAAAATATGCTAATATTTTGATTCAAATTTTGTTAAATCTATGCAATACTATTGAAAGTATGAGCATCTCTCAAATATTGAATCTTAAAATTCATGAACATTGTATATCCCTTTATTTATTTTGTTCTTTTTTAATGTTAATAGTGTTTTTATAGTTTCAATATTAAGATATTACTTTCATTTTCTACTTATTTGTTACTAATATATAAAAGTCCAATTGATTTTTGCAAACTATATCCAGCAGCTTTGCCAAACTTGCTCTTCTGTAGTTTCTCAATGGATACTTTTGAATTTTTATATACACAATTGTGTCATTTCTGAAAAATTCTATTGCTTTCTTTTTTATACATTTTAATATTTTGCTTTTGCTTACTGAACTATCTTGAGATTTATTCAGTGCAGTGCGAAATATAAGTGATGCTAGTAGGCATCCATGTTTCACTCCCAATTTCAAGGCTAAACTTTCATTATTTTCACTATTAAATATATAAGTGTTTGCTATATAATTTTTATAGTTTTGTTTTATCATATATTGAAGTTCCCACCTACTCCTGGTTGCCTGAGAAATTTTGGACCTGCCATTGAATTATAGTAAATGTTTTTTCTGAACTTTTAAGATGATTACATGATATCCTTTTTGTTCTCTTAATGAAATAAAATTTATTGATTAATTAACAATATTAAATGACCCTGCATTCCCAGAATAAGTCAAATCATGTTATAAAGTATTATCATTTTTATATTTCATTGCTTATAATTCATTTAAATTGTTTGCATCTATGTTTCTGAGAGATTGAATTATAAGCTTTCTTTCTTGTAATATCATTGTCATGTATTGGGATCAAGCTTATGTTGACATCATAAAATAAAATAAAAAGTGTTCTCACTGCTTGAAATCTGGAAGTACTTGTGCAAAATTGGTGTTAATTCCTTCTTAAATACTGAATGGAATTTATCGGTGGAACCATCTAAGTGAGCATGGAATTAGTTTTTGAAAAGAGTTTGAATTATGCCTTCAACTTAATAGTTTAGTATAGTTATTTACATTTTGTATTTATTCCTTTTTTTAAAAAAATCAAGTTTTGTTAAGAATTTGTCCATTTACTCTACCTTTTCAAATTCCTTGGCATAAAGTTGATATCTTATTATTTTCTTTGTAATGTTTATAGCACTTGATTTGATGACATTTTCCTTCCTGTTATTAGTAATTTGTTTTCGTTCTCTATTTCTCTCTCTCTCTCTGCCTGTCTTGCTCTCTCTTACTCATTGTCTCTCCCTCCCCTATCCTCTCTTTAAGAGTGTTGATGCAGATTTATGAATTTATGCAGATGCTGTGAACCTTCCATAGAATGAGATCTTGCTATCTTTTATAATATTGTACTCCAGGCTCTCTAAGACCATGTCTTTTTCAGGAGTGATACAGACACCTATTCTCCTCGGTGAATAGGTGGGCCTAATAACTCCACTTACTTCACTGTGATCCCTGAAGTTGAAAGGCCCTTTGGTGGGAGATATCTATGTTGCTTCTTATAGGCAAATATGGTCTCTCTTTTTAGCCACCCTTCAAAGAATGAAAGAGAATACTGTCCCAAATGTAGGATGGAAATACTTCATTTTTAAGAAGTGAATTTCACCTTTTATATGTTGAAAAAAATTGGTGTCTTAGGAAATGAAAGTAGTTGCCAAACAAAGAGTCATTTTTTTTCTAATGTGGCAGAGGTTGAAATGTACTTGTATCCTGATATTTTTAAATGAAAAAAAAAAAAGCAAATCCAGGTGAGTCAATGTATTGTGATTGGTTTTCATTTCATTTCTTCTTCAGTTTCCAATATTCATGTATCCTTGCTAATCACATAACTGGAAAGTTTTTACAATTCTTTTTTCTTTTCCATCTTTTTTCTTTAAGGCTTAAGCTCCCAGAACTCCTCTTATTAGATGAGTAAGTGATAAACATTTTGATGACTAGTGCAGCTAAGCAGAGATTCCTTTTTTCCATAGAACAGCAGGCTTCCAGAACAGAGCAAAGTTGCCTGATAAGTTCTGGTTATTTCAGAAGAGATAAGGGGAACTATCCTTACAGCTTCATGTTGGCTCCCTCTTATGCCAAATTCTACTTCTGACTTTCTTTTAAAGAAGCAGCTCCCTCAGCTACATTGCTTAATTCTTGGAAGAATTATTAATAGCTTCTTTGAATTATAAGATACCTTAAATATACGAAGAGCAGGTAAAGTGACCTGTTACATATGCAATCATGCATTCTACATAGAAGTGGATGGGAAATGCAGTCTACAAATGTGAAAGTAAATCTGCATCTTCTTGATTCCTATGAATACGTAAGTGAAAAGCAATTCTCATGCAAATTAGGGTCTGTATTATTGCTTCAGGGATTTTTTTATGTAAACAGTACACAAATTGGTTGTATTGTGTTGCATTATGGAAAAGCAGCTGTTTTGCATGGAACGAAGTGCCAGATTTCTATCTTTCTGGCCTTCCATGACCTTGAAAATTGACCTTTGAGTTGCGGAGCAGGGGAGAGGTCATAGTCACCAAGATGATGGCAGTTGTTTTGCTCATGTCTGGATCTACAAGTGCTCTCTGGGCCTCTCTGTGTCTTCTTTCTTTTCTCTTGACATTTTTCCTTACTGGCATTTAAAAGTAGGTATATAAGAAACACCCATGAAAGCCCCCCTGTATGAAAGAAAACATGAAGGATTTGGGATGCAGTGAGAAGGCCAATGTGTAAGAGCCAGCTTCTGTCCTATTTACTTCATGTGTATTTCTCGAGAGAAAGATGTTCCCTTTCAAGAGCCTGAGACCACCCAGGACAGTGAAACAGCCTTGAGACAGATGGTCTCCTCAGGTGGGCCTCTTTGGGCACAAATTGCCTTCTCTAGAAACTGGCTGGGAAATTTGGTCACATTGCACAACAGGTCCTGGAGATTGAAACTTTAATACACACAAATTTCAGAAGGCAGGGAGGGTAGACTTCTAGCAATCTCTCTTGTATCTTCCTTTCAGGTTCTTTCTGTGCTATCTGAACCCCCTCTTTTAAGTTAGCCCTTGATTCCCCCCAGCAAGTCCCTGAAATAGTTCCCTGACCTACTTGAAAGTCAGCTTGCAGATGTGAGAATCCCAGCTCTTTCCAAGTCTCTGTGGTTGCCACATTCATTACTCATGAAAGAGACAGGGAGCCCCAACTCTCCATGGAGCCTCTGGTCTTTACTTTACTTTATTTATTTGTTTATTGATTTTGCCACAGCTCATGCTGGAGCCCGGGGAGGCTCAGTCTTTTTGACCAAGTCTAAAACCCTCACGCTTTGCTAGAAAGAGCCACTGGGTCTAGCATCTCTATCAGGCTAGAGCTGGGATATTTATTTTAAATTATTTTTTTTTTGATGAGCTCAGCCAGAAAGGTGTGTTTATATGTTTTCATGGATATTCATACATGTATGATTTTTAAAACCTGACTATGAGTAGAGGCAAAGGAAAAAAGTTGTCCTGCATGTGCAATATTTCAACATAACAATACCAAATGTCAATAAAAAGGGAAGGTACTTCCTGTAAGTTTGTGAAGGGTTCTGAAAATAGCTTCAAGCCTAAGCCAGAGTTAACACAGTTACACAGCCAGAATTTCCATGAAAGCATCAGTACCTAGGGTGTTTGTGCTAGTAAAATTGTGCAAATATCTGCAGCTTGGATGCTTTGCTCACCACAGCTTGACTGTCTTGCACATAGTGACTCAAGATTCCTTGGTTCTTATGCCCACTTTTTAACCCCCAGTTTAAAAGGTGGCAGTCATGTACCTTCTAATGTCCAAAGATTTTTAAACCTGTGCTGTATTTTGTAAAACAGCATGAAACCCTACTATGTCATTAAACCAACACACTGAAGGGCTTTTCATCATTCTGTGAGTGTGTGTGATGTGTGTGTGCACACATGCAGATGCAGACTTGGGAGACTTTCCTCTCATCCACCTCACTGTTCTCTACATTGTAAAAAAATAAAAACTATTTATTAATATGGTTAAAAACACTTAGATTGGAATGATGATTTTTTAAATATCTTTACTTAAATTATCTCATTGAATTTTTGCAAAAATCAAGAGCAATAGAGAAGCCAGAATGTACAGTATTTTCAACTCAGAGATGAGGAAATGTAGAGACTCAGAAATGTAAAATTGAGTAATTCCTGGATTTTCAATTTCATGGACTACTAAAAATTTTAAGACTAATGAAGGGGGCCGTTTTAGAATAATGAAATTAATATTTTTCCAAATAAGGGCATTAAGTAAAACAGTGCTTATCACTAACGATGATGATGATCAATGCCATACACTGTACTATGCACTTTACTCTCGGCTTTGAAGTCAGAGTTCCTTGGTGAGAATGTTAGTTCTGCCACTTAGCATCCATGTGCCCTGGACAAGTCAATTAGGATCTTGGTACTTCAGTTTCCTCTCCTATAAGATAAAAATAGGAGTGCCTGTCTCATAAGTTCACTTTGAACATTAAGGACATTAATATATCTCAAGTGCTCAGAGCAATGTCTGGCTCAGAATAAGCACTAGGGCCATTTGTGAAATAAACAAATAATCTCATTTAATCCTCACAACAACCCTAAAAGGTGGGTAGCAAGGTTAACTGGGTTGCCAAAAGCTACATAGCTAACGGTTGGCAAATATGATGCTCTAACCAAAAAGTATGAGTCTGGAGGCTATGCACTTAGGGGACACGCAATACTTACCTTTCAATTTTAGTTTTTTGAAAAGCATTTTTGACTCCAAAAGTTAGATAGAATACTGTTAGAATAAAAAATAGCCCTCCTCCCAAAAAGACTTCAAAATTATACAAAGGCATATATATATATAATTTTTATTTACTTGATAATATGTATATTTATAAATATATGTTTATATACACACTTACATATACATCGTTTTGTACTGCTTTTGAAATTGTTATTTTGTAACAGCAGAACCCCGGCAGTGGGTAGGCCTGTCTCACGGAACATGTCGGAACTACTGATTTGGCACACTGTTCTCGGAGATTCTTGGACAAATTCTCTTGTACAGGGTCTGAAATTCAGCCCATTCCCACCCAGAAAGCAAGGTACAGTAGCATCTATGTGGTTTTTCCAGAAGGAACAATTCTACATATTGTAACAAATAAAAACTGTAATACTTCTTCTACTCTTTTGATGTTGCTAATGGAGACAGGAGCATAACCGACTCATGGAATCTGCCTCAAATACGTAATAGAACCATGAGTGGATGTTCTCACTCACGGCCCTCCATTTCTTTCAAAGGAGATATAATCAAAGAATTCAGAACCTGATCAAACTCCTACCCCACTTTGAAGACATCATCCAGTTATCCTAGTTATCCAACCACCAGAAGAAAAGAATAGTGAAAAGACTAGAGCTTCACAGACTTGTATGGAAAAAATATTAACAGCAGAGGGGTGAAATCTGTATGGTTAACATCCAAGTGGGTACAGAATAAAGTGTCAAGGGCTGGTCTCCTGGTGCATGGTCTCTTGGTACCCTGAAACTTCTGTCTCACTGCTATTAAAGTGACTCCTGCTTTGAGTAAGGCCCCGAACTATTCCCTAAGCTTTCACTGCTAATGAAGTCAAAAAAACTTCCCAACCCTGGAATCTTTGTCCAGCAGGATTTTCATCTTATGTTACTGGGTCTTGGTGGTGGTAACTGAGGACTTTGACATGTAGGCTGGTGTTCTGGTAAAGTTTTCTTGAAGGCCTTTATTCTCCTTTATCTGGCACAGTTGATGTAGCAATTACCATGTTCTCTACGGATGCCAGAAAGGCCTAGGCTCTTGAAGATCTGCATCCAGTCACACCAGAATCCTTTGAAGGCTCAAGGAAAATACCTTATTTTGCTTAATATATCTGGTGGTAATCAAAAGAAAAATGGCAATCTGACATTGAAAGCATTAGCTGATCTGCATACTTTTTGACCATAAAGATGGTGAGAAATACAAAAAATATATTATTCATATAATTCTCATGATTTGAAGCCTTTTCTTCATGAACTAACCCGTCTCTCACTACTCTTTTAAGTGACCTAATTGAGTTTGATGACTAAAATTATCATCTCTACACAGATGATTCTAAGATCTATTTTTTTACTTTGCTTTCTCATCTGGATTCTTTCCTTATGTAATTACTGCTTGCAACATAGATCCATTTAGACAGCCTATCATCATTTCAAATCAGCAATTCCTAAAGGGACTCATGATCCCAGCTTCAGCCTATCTCCTTTTTTTCCTCCTCGTGGTAACACAATCCTTCCAAGACACAGGAGTAAAGTATTGGGGCTGTTTTTTAAATGTTTTCTATCATTACTACCTTCTAAGCATATCCTTAATTTATTTTTTCCTCTATTCTGATTGTACCATTGAACAGGCATTAGGCCAGTGTTACCATAGCAAGCACTGTTCTCTGTGGTGAGTCATTCTTTTTCCCCTTTGTTCCACTTTATCATATTGTAATTCTGAACTTCCTGAAACACTAATTTTATTTTGTCATTTCCAAGCTGAAGAGAATGTAGAGCTCCCTACAATCATGTGAACTCCTTTTAAATTTGTATGGTTTTCTTTCACCTGCCTACTCCTCTATGCAAGACATATCCAGTCAAATAGTTTGTTTTGATTTGTTCATAATTCTTCCTCCCTTCCCAATCCTTACCATGACTTCCCTCTGGATAGAGTGTATTTCCCTACCGCACTGAAATTGGACCTGGATATATTACTTGGTTTTGCCAAATGTAGTGAATGAAGGTGTCAAGGTGTTAGTTCAGAGTGAAGGTCTTAAAAGACATGGCAAGATTCTGCCAGCCCTCTTGAGTTTCTGACATCTTCCATTAGTAAGTATGCCCCAGGTAGGCATAGATCCTGTGGACTGGGCCCTAGAATGAGAAAACGTGGACTGTAGTCTAGAGCCAAATCCAGCTAAACCCAGGAAAGCTTAGCCAAAATCCAGGAGAAACATTCCTAAACTGCAGACTCATGAGCAAGAAATACATGTTTATTGGTATAAGCCGCTAAGATCTAGGGCTTGTTTGGTACACAGCAACATTGTAGCAAAACTGACTGATACACCAACTTCAAACTCTGTTCTTCACCTTAGATTCTATCTTCCATTCTATCATCTCCACATATACCAACATTTCCCTTCCTCACTTATTCTTCCTATTTCCTTTCCCTCCTCTAACTTTATAAATTCTAGATCAAGCTCCCATCTATACATAAAGCTTTCTTTGACTTTTTACACTCTCTCAATATTCCCTTGGGCTTAATATAGATGGAAAGAAATACCTTGTATTTTCTTTCCAAATTATTTCAGTTTTAATTATATAATTGATGCATATTTCCTTAAAGGTCTATATTATGACACCCTATTGAGGAAGCTGTTTATAGAGGTGATAGAAAGAACCTGGGCTTTGAGTCAAAAAACTGTGGTTCAAATCTTGCTTCTGCCCCTTGCTTGCCTTATAAACTCGAGCAAGCTATATAACCTGTCTGAATGTCAGTTTCTTCATCCTTAAAATGGTGGCTATAATACCAGATTCAGAGGAAAGATTAAATAAGATGAGGTATAGTATATGCTCTCTATCCCTTCCTCTCTAGGTTCATTTACCCCCAGCCCACCCCAACCATTTAATATTATTCCTTCTGTTCTGATGCAATAAGACCATTTCATGAAGATGTCTGAAATAGTTTGGAGATTTTACATGCATCTTTCTCAGATAGGTGAAGTTAAGTCAATTACCTTCCAACATTTATGCAACATCAAATTTAGTACAGAACTACAAAGAGCCATGTTAATTACAGTAGAAATTCGAGGCATATTTTCTTATTTTGGCAATTTAATAGTATAGCCTAGAAGTCAAACTAGCTAACACACTTTGAAAGAATTAGAAAATAGCTAAGGAACAAATTGTGCAATCCAGACACTTTGAAATTCAATAAAAATTAGGTAATCCAAGTGGTATAAAAACTGAAGAAGCTTTCAAGAAGAAACTTGGGTTGAATGTTTAAATATCTGTAAAGCTAAGATAGAAGGTTGAAGGAGGGGTGTTCCAGGTTGGTTGTGAGTAACATCAGTGAAGCCCACTGGAGGAGGAAAGGCATGACTTATGCAAAGACGTTGGAAAGATAAATCTGTAAGAATGAACATATGGGCCAACCAGAAGACAAAATGAAATTAGTCTGGTATAGTGGAGCCAGAGTAGGACAAACCAGGAAAAATTAGTAGTGTGTTATGTTGTTGCCAAGAGTAAACTATGTACTTGGGCAGAACAATGGCCTAAAGGATAGATACATGATAGAGGTAGCTTATTAGTCTCCCAGCTTTTGATTATTGTACAAAAGTATTTTGCATTTGTTATCGCCTTTTCTACTGTTCTATCCCCACACCCCAGATGCTGTAATACATTTCTTCTAGTCATTAATCAAACTGATATATGTAGCCTTTTAATAAACCTAAGAACTTCAATAAATAAGAATCTTTTGAAATAACTTTTTTAAAAAATAAAATAATTATTTGATAGCACAACAGGGTAACTGTAGTCAATAATAATTATACATTTTAAAGTAACTTAAATAGTGTAATTGGATTGTTTGCAACTCAATGGATAAATACTTGAGGGGATGGATACCCCATTCTCCATGATGTGCTTATTTCACATTGCATGCCTGTATCAAAACATCTCATGTACCTTATAATATATACACTTACTATGTACCCACAAAAATTAAAAATTAAAAACATAAATAAATAAGTCTTTAACATTTAGAGTTTATTAGTCCTTATTTCTTCTCTCCATCCCCTATACACAGAGGAAGAGAGTGGAGGAAGATGTGGGTAATTATATAAATCTATATCATGATGAAATATTACAATATGAAATAACTTGAAAAATCTTTGTATCATGATGATCTTTCTCATTTGGGATAAATTATATTTACAAGTTTATCATGCATATACATTGTATGTTTGCAAGTTAGATTTTATCTTTTTTATTTGTGAATGTGTCTTAAAGATGATTTTTTTTCAAATAACTATACATTCTAGATGGTAATAAGAGTTTATTTTAAAAGCACTTCTCATAATACAGATAGAGGGATTGAGGTTTGTACTTCTTTGAGAAATGTACTTTTGTCTCTCTAATATTGTTTGCTGAGGAGATCAGAAAGCCCTGGGCTGTAATTTACTCTTTTCTTTGTCCGTCATAAGGAGGGAGACCACTATTTCTTTTGAAATTTCTTGGCTTTTCTAACATATCTGAAAACAAAAGAAGGGGGAAATCTGCTTACTTACTTTGCCAAAATGAGAGTCAGATATTACTATGTATCGGCCAGAAGATAGACTTCACGGTAACAGTAGGAAAAAAACTGATTTATTGGTCAAAAGAGAGATGACACACACTGTTTTGTTTCATTGTCTTTTTCCTTTACTAAAACCTCTTTTATCTCTTCCTAAACTTGAGTCATGGTGACATTAAGACCTCCAGTTTGACTGCCAAATCTTTAAATGATCCCATTCATGCCATCCCAATGCTGTGTGGTAGGGGCAAGTTCAGTCCAGTGTTTCCAGGCTCTGAAGTTGGATTATATTGCTTTCCTTTTCCTGCTGTACAGCATGTGGGCAAGAACCCAAAAACTTAATGGAAATTTTTCTGTCTTAAATCTTCTGAAACTAGTTACCTTTGAGGTCAATGAACTCAATACCCAGAGGGAGAAAAAAAGGCTGATTACAGAATAACGGAAATGTTGTTACAATGGATATTTGCATACTGAGTAAACTTGCTCAGGGGATCCTATCTGACCAAAAACAGCCAAAATAACCAATATTGGGAGGGCTAAAGAAAAGAATAACATGCTCTATGCCTGACCTACAAAATTTGAACATGCACTATATTAGAAATAAACGTATAATGAATCTCTTTGAATTTAGATAGTTTCTGCTCCTAAAACTTTGAGAAATATAGATTTTGAGTTTTACCGTAAACCACTCTCAAGAGGAACATGAGACCATCACTATCCCTGGTGCTACAAAGGAAAACTCAAGAGAAATCTTAGGGAAGCGGAGGGAAAAAATCTGATTGTGACAATGAATATTGTGACTATAGGTAAAGCTGTTGAGTCTAATCTTTGAGGATTCGCCTTTTCCCAGTTCATTCCAACCCAACTTCTTCATTTCACCCCAAAGTCTCCCTCTCCAGACCTCACCTCTCTTGACCAACTCTGTCTTTCTCTTTCTTATGAGAATTACATGCCCAAGTCATGAGATTTTCATATTCT
This sequence comes from Homo sapiens, assembly GCF_000001405.40. Classification (NCBI taxonomy): domain Eukaryota; kingdom Metazoa; phylum Chordata; class Mammalia; order Primates; family Hominidae; genus Homo; species Homo sapiens. The sequence goes on from NC_000012.12 coordinate 28,962,844, forward strand.
TTGGCAATTTTTAGATGATAACTCCCAGTACCAATTATTCTGTTGTAATCTCTTTCTGTTTTGAAGGCATTTTCTACGATGTCTAATACAATGCTATGCACTTAGTAGATATTCATTATTTTCTCAAAGACCACTAGGCTGATCTGTAAAATGCCAAAATAATTTGAGCTCTTAAAAGAACATCAAAGTTCTAAAGCAATAATTCCATGTAAACACATTGATAATACAATTAGACAGTAGGCATTCAAGACCAGTCCATACAGTGCTTATTTCCAGTAGCAGGAAACTAGATATCACCAGTGTAATAGTTTACAGAGGCTAGGAGAGTCAAGGGTAGGAGAGGAAGTTGTGTCTGGAGGAGCTGGAACACTAGGATGACCCAAATAAAACTTTAGCTGAATCCTTGATTTCTCAGTGGCAGGTATAGCTCAGCAAATAAAGATTACCCTTGCAAATATTTAACAAAAGCAGCCTGTTCTGTTCTTCTTAGTGGTGTTAGGGTGACCACAGTATTGAGTATTGGACTTGTTGTCCAGAATCCCGGGTATTCTTTACAGCTAAATCTGTAACAGCCAGGATCAACATTCTGCCTGGCCTTTTCATAGGAAATCTGAGTGACAGTGGTGGCACTTTTCTTACCTGCCACACATTTGAAGATCAAATGATGGAACCCAGCATTTAACGAAGAATAGACAGCAAAAAAAATTTGCCAAGTGAATAATGAATGTTGACCATTAAATCTGACCACCCATGGGTATTATTAAATACAGTCTTCACTAAATCAGAAACACAGAGCTAGGTATTCTCTGAGACTTTTTCACTTCTTACCTTTTTGTCCGTTGTTTCTTGTGATTACATAAACATTGTGATTGCACACGTGATTTAAAAAGAAACATATGTGGATACTGCCCCCTCAAGGAGATGCAGCATAACATCCACCTCTTAAGTCTGGGCTTTGCAGAGTGACTTCTTTCCAAAAGCCACATTCTGAAAAGGGTGAAAAAGGTTAACTTTTCAGTGGAAAAGTCTGACCTTGTGGTCTACCTCACCAGGTGACCAAAGTTAACATCAACAGTGGCCAGATGTGTTGATAGAGTGTACCATTGATATCACCTGATGAGAATGACACCAGCTTTGTGATCTTTTTCCCCAAAACCTATAATTCCAGTCTAATCATGAAAAAAATCAAACATCCCAAACTGGAGGACATTCTACAAAACACCTGAGTAGTTTACCTCAAAACTGTCAAGGTCGTCAAAAACAAGGAAAGTCTGAGAAACTGTCACATTGTTGAGGATTTTAAGAGGATATGACTGGTCATGTGGTACCCAGGATGGGAATCTGGGATTTAAAAAACACAAGAGGTAAAAACAAAAGAAATCTGAATAACCATGTATAAAATTATCCATGTATAATAATAACCATGTATAAATATTGGTTCATTACTTGTGAAAAGTTTACCATATTAATGTAACATCTTAACAACTGAGCAGATTGGATGCTGGGCAAAGGGGAGCTCTCTGTACTATATTTGCTAAATTTCTGTAAATCAAAACCTATTTTTAAAATAAAAGATTCATTTAAAAAAAGCAACAGCATGATCCTTCTCAAGTGAATTTTATATAAAGTCCCCCTTTTCTCTGCCTACCATTTGTAGGATCTGACCACCTGGACCCTTTCTTTTTGAGTAACTGAGCCTGAGTTGTGATTCTTGGGGGTGTGTGTGTGTGTGTGTGTGTGTATACTTTGTTTTATACAGAGAGTAGTTACTGAGCTTCATATAGCTGAACTAAAGCAAGGCTGCTTGTCAGATGCCAGTTTAGACATATAGTTACCCTGTATTAGTCAGGGTTCTCTAGAGGGACAGGACTAATGGAATAGATGCATATATAAAGGGGAGTTTATTAACTTACGTGATCATAAGGTCCCACAATAGGCTGTTTGCAGGCTGAGGAGCAAGGAGAGCCAGTCCAAGTTCCAAAACCAAAGAACCTAGAGTCCAGTGTTCGAGGGCAGGAAGCATCCAGCACAGGAGAAAGATGTAGGCTGGGAGGCTAGGCCAGTCTCTCTTTACACGTTTTTCTGCTTGCTTTTATTCTAGCCATGCTGGCAGCTGATTAGATTGTGCCCACCCAGATTAAGGGTAGGCCTGCCTTTCCCAACCCACTGACTCAAATGTTAATCTCCTTCGGTAACACCCTCACAGACACACCCAGTATCAATACATTGTATCCTTCAATCCAATCAAGTTAACACTCAGTATTAACCATCACGTACCCCCTTCCCATTTAGTGAATATTATGAATATACTGAGTGCAATATGATATGCAATTCTCCTAAGCAAAAATTCTAATATGTAACTCTAGCACCCAGAGTGCTGTTAGAAGCATTTTGGATATAGAATCATAGTAAATGAAGTTAAACACAGATTAGCAATCTGAAGAATTAGACCATATTCATATCTCTGCTGCTAAATTGCTGATGACTTGGGCAAATCTGACCACATCCCTGAAATTTAGATTTTTTTTTAAATGGGAAATTGGAATTCTGATTATTAATCTGGGAAGATATGCTTATCGGTGTTTATCCCAATTATGCTTGCTGTCACTTGAGAAGGCTTCCTTCCTTCCTACAAAAATGGAAAGTGGAGTGTTTAGATGGAAGGCAAAAATTATATTCCCAAAGCTGGAGCTACAAGCATAGTCAACTAAGCCCTCACTAACACCAGACAAGAGGAAAAAAAAAACCAAAACACCACCACCCACACTGCCTGAGAAAAGTGACCTGACCCACAGATGCTCTTTTCCATGCCTTGTGACTTGTTGAAAAGTTTGACGTGCTAGATGCTACAATCTAACATGAGTTTTGGCTTAAAGGAAACAAGTGCAAAGAAATTCTCTTCTGTTTTCTTAGAATAATCTATGTATGGAGGCATATATGCAGAAACATATACCCTAGTCCTTAGATTTTCTCTTTAGTGGTTAAAATAAAAGTTGCAGCGGGAAATGACTGCCTTATTAATGAGGCATCAGGGGCAGATAGAGGTGCTGTTTGGCTGACCTTCAATTATCCTAATTGAAAATTCATAGCTTGGTGCCTTCTTTGATTTGTCACCATGGGAGGTATGTCTTCCTCCTTAATGTCACAATGCCACTAAAGAAACTGTACTCTGGGAATAGTCATTTAACATGAGTGGAAACAGAATTTCATTTAAGAAAAATCAAAGAAGTAATTCACAAATGATTCCCACAACTCTTTGGAGAAGCCTTGGCAGCCACAATAAGTTTATCATGTTGTTGATACAGACAACAGTCTAAACCTCCCAGGGGTCTGTGGGAAATGAAGCCCCAGGGGCAGGGGGGAAAATGAAGCTTTCTGGGAGAAATTCCCAGGCAACTTGTGAGTGTGGTTCTAAATAAGACTGGTGGGAATTTCCAAAGTAGACAGCACCTCAGGGGGCTGGGGCAGGGCAGAGGAATAAGAAATCTTTTTCTTCCTGGGTGGAGCCAGGAATGTTTCTTATGAGCAAAATCTAAGGACCCACAAGTTGGACTGGCTTCTTACAGCCAAGTTATAAATGATTAATTCTATCAAGGAAAAGAAACAGGGCCTCCTTGCTAAGCTTTGTAATGGGGTTCATATAAATTTGCGTAAAATACTATGTAGGATTAGTGTAGCCAGCCAGGAATTGAGCTACAGGAGCCAAGAGGAGAATGGGACCTCAGCCAACAGGAAAAGTGGGAGATGAAGTGGATCACGCTTGCCAAGCCAAGGAGGCTGGCCAAACCAGAGCTACAGTAGCATGGAAATGAGAAGTGAGAGTCCCACTCTTGAGGGGTGTTATCGTTATTATTATGCTGTTGTTGTTTTTAAAATAAATTTCCATTGTCTCTCCCCCTCAAATGATACTCTCACTACTTTCAAGTTCAGTAAAATATATCTTCACTAATAATGACAACAAGGAAGTTTGCTTGCTTTATAGGTTCAGTTTGGCCCAGCAAGACTGAGCAGAGACCCAGTGGGCTGGGAGGTGGAGGAGTAGGGAATACAGGTGGGCCCCTCAGCCCTACAAGTGCTGCAAAACAACAGGGAGAGTTGAATGTAGAACACCAAATCCACACCTTTTGCCCCAGAATCCCATATTAGAACCATGTCCAGGGAGTCAAAATAGTTTTTCCTAGGGAGTGGAAAAGTCTTCGCTTTGACTTACTCTTTCCATGACTTCTTCCTTCGTCCACTTTCTCAAAAGTTAGGAATGGAAGCTATGAACAGGTGTATCAAGATAAGCCCTATTATCCTCCTCCACAACTCCATTGTCTACAGTTGGGTTGTTCAGCCATATTGCTATTGGGATAAAAGCATCAGGAATTGGCCAGATTCCTGGGTTATGGTATGGCCCATTGAGTCCTCGCTTGGCATATATATGTGGCTGCAAGAAAGGCTGCCATTGTGGCCTGACTCAGTCAGTCCCTGAGATTACACCAATGTCACCCCCTCCCCATCTTAGCATGATGGTCCTGGGTGGCGACAAAGGCTCCAAGCAGCAGCAGCAGGTGTGTCCCACCCACGGAGGCAGTGTGCCCCTCCCTCATTTTTCTCCACACTCCCGAGATGGAGGTCTGAGCTGAAAGGCCCCCAGCAATCTGTCAACAGCAGCTCCTCCTGGACAGATGAAGGGACAGCCTCCTCCGGCCAAGCCAGTAGGAACTGCCCTGCTCCGTCTCAAGAGGGAATTATTTCTGGCAGTTCTTCCAACACCTTGTGCACAACATACACAGTGTACGAGTGCGAGAGGTGAACCTCAGCCCTCAGCTCCAAGGCCGTTATTCCAATAGGTCTCTTGCCTTGCATCCCGCCCCCATGCAAACACACACACACACACACACACAACTCCTGCACACCCTCAGCAAATTCTGCAGACTCCACTCCACATTCTTTTCACCTCCAGCTGGAGTGAAACTAACAATCTTCTCGTAAACACAAACTAAGAGGTTCTTGTTTTCTGGTAAGGGACAGGGTGAAGTCTGGAATTCTTCCCTAAGCCATCATGGAGGGAGCTCCCCTTTTGGAAAAGACAGCCTTGCCAGCTATGGCTGTCATCATAAATGCTTAGAAATGGATATTTCCAACCAGGATCCCTCTGTCCGAGGCTTTTGTTCATCTAAGCCCGCTTCGGGGAAGCCTACCTTTGATTTGCCAGAGTCAATGAGAATAACTTTTCCTAGTCACGCATACTTTCTGGTGATCTGGGGCATAGAAAACCTGTGAGTTTTCTGTGAAACATGCCTCTGGCCCTGCCACACGCTCATCTGAATTGTGGTGTACTGGCGGAGGGATGTGTTTGCGTGTGTGTGTGTGTGTGTGTGTGTGTGTGTGTGTGTGTGTGTGAAGTGGGGCAGGGGTGGGATATATACAATCATTTATTGAGAACAAAGATATTTGTTCTTTTTTTTTCTGTTAGTTGCCATGACACCTTCGTGAGGTACAAAGAGTATTTTTGTTTTATAGAGGCAATGACAGATTCTAGGTATATAACATCCCTAAGGACAGCAGTCTTGTAAGTTCTAATGCAAGGATTCAAACCCAAAGTCCAGGTTATTGCCTCTAAGCTTCCTGCCTCTAAAAGCCCTGAAATTCTGTGCCCTGGAAGATGAGATTTTTAACCTGACTGCTCCGTATGTGTCTCCCTCAAATCAGAGATTGATTATGCTCCAGGAAATCTTGATAGTCATTTGCACCTACACCAGCAGGGCCACGCTGCTTGACTCAAGCGATAAACGGGGAAACTGAGGTCTTGCAGATGTGACTTGCCTGAGGACACACAGCTGGTGAACTATGGAACCTGAACTTACACATACAATTTTTATTTATTTTCTCTTCTCCTACTATCATTTGAGAGTAAAACAAAATTTGTAGGAAGAGAATCAGTGTGGTTCCCCTCTTTAATTGCGAAATAAAGGAAAAGGCTGAGGGTGCAGGTGCATGGACTTGTTTTCAGTCCCAAGACATGACTGGTATTTATATTTATACTTCTGCTTGTGATCCCCCATCTTGTCCCATCACAGATAATGAAAGCTACCAGAAATGGAAGACTACACTGATGATTTAGAAGGATAAAAATTTATCTTAGCTAAAACTTCAAACAGGAAGAAAACCTTCTAATGGTGCCTTTTTATTAAACTTTATGCAGCTAAATAATCACATCAAGAGAAATCTATACTTGCTTTTTGATGAAAATTCATAGCAGCCAAATAAGTACATAAGCTCAAATTGTTTTTTCAGCAGGTGGTCCTCTGCCAAAATCCTTATGTTTCAATCATTCTCTGCTCAGTAAACAAAACCATTTTCCAGAGGTTAGAGATTCAAGAGAGTAAGATGATCTGTCACTACTTGCTGAAATTAAGTGATATTTGATTTCTGTATACCATCATCCCTCCCCTGCATCATAAACTCCTTACAGACAGAATTTTTTTCTTATTAGTCTATATGTTCTCAGAGCTTATTTGAGTTCTGTGCAGAGTGATTGATCAGCAGACATTTGTAGGATGAAAGATAAATGAATACGGCTGGCTGACATTCAAGCTTATCTGTGCCCTTCCTTGGCTTTGAGGCCCAGCTGGACTTAAAATGTGTCATATTTGCTTCTATCGATGCTGGGAGAGAAGCTCTCATCATTGCACATCTGTTCTCCAGGACATCAGGATGCTTACCCGAAAAACTAATTGGGAAATAAACCAGAATCCTTCTTTAAATGTGAAGGATCCATTTAGCGATTTATTTTTCAGCGATGTATTCATTCGATTCATTTGTTCAAGCATTCATTCACTTTCATGCCATGTACCAGGCACTGGGCAGGGTGCTCTTAGTAGCCCATGTTCCATCAAGGGAAATGGATTAACAAGCCTAGACAAATACAATGATAGAGACAAGAAACCCATCATCTGGCTCCTAGGCCCCAGAATTGCTTTAATCTGAGATGCTTGACATTGACAAGACACAGATAACTTTGGCTATTCTTTGGGTGGCCACAAAAATATTGGTCAAACTATTACCCCCAAGTCCAAGGTAACTTTGTTATAGCTCCACCCTTGATAACAGCATGTCAATGTTTCTCTTCTGATGTCTCAACACTCAACTAAACATTTTTTTTTTCTGGACCAATAGCCCTTTTCAGTCTCCCTTAGGGTTTCTTTTCTTTTCTTTTCTGTTTTGTTGTTGTTGTTGTTGTTGTTTGTTTTTTTTTGACACGGAGTCTCGCTGTGTCGCCCAGGCTGGAGTGCAGTGGCTCGATCTCAGCTCACTGCAAGCTCCGCCTCCCGGGTTCACGCCATTCTCCTGGCTCAGCCTCCCGAGTAGCTGGGATTACAGGCGCCCGCCATCACGCCCCCCTAATTTTTTTGTATTTTTAGTAGAGACGGGGTTTCACCGTGTTAGCCAGGATGGTCTCGATCTCCCGACCTCATGATCCGCCCGCCTCGGCCTCCCAAAGTGCTGGGATTACAGGCGTGAGCCACCGCGCCCGGCCCTCCCTTAGGGTTTCTTTTCCCATTTAATCCTCCACGTGACCCCTATTCTCTCTCTGATATACGCCTGCCTTGCAAACTTTTTATCTAGTAACCTACTATTGGCAGGATTTTGTACTAAGTATGGGATACAAAGACATGAGTACTACTCATAAAACAAACACGCAAATAACTGGGGGGTTGTCATGGTAATACCACCCCCAAATATGGGGGCTGGAAATACTACCCCAAAATATGGCACTTTAGCATGCAGAGTATATTTTAAGCTGAAGAAAATTGGGAAAACTGCAAAAGCAGAAAAGTTTCTCTGATTTTCTTTAGCACTTCCCTCATGTGACAAGTGTCTTGCCCTATACCTGGAAAGAAGGATGGTTACAGAGAGAATTCACAAAGAAACCCGAATAAGCCATGCTAAGTTCCTCCCAGTTTATTACCATTAGGTCATATCCCCTCTTTGTCTAATTTTACTTCTACACAGCTATCCATTCTTCATCAAACCTGAGCATAAAAAATACACAGTTTTCTCTGAATCTTTGGTCTTCATTTCTGAATATTGTCATGTCACAGAAAACCTTGGTCAAATAAACTTGTTATGTTTTTCTCTTGTTAGTCTTTTATTTGTTATAGAGGTGTCAACCATAAGTCTTGTGATGGATGAGGAAAATATATTACTTTTTCTCCCCTACATTTTATGTTTGTTTTTCCTGAAAAGCCATATTTTGTTAAATGAATCTACCCTATCTTTAAGAGGTAGTACTCTTTAGGACACACTGTCTTCCATTTAGACCCTTTCCAGGAATATGCCCTCCTTTCCTCAAGGAGAACTCAAAAAGAACATGTATTTTATTCATTCCTTTGTACTTAAATATGAGCACTCACTCTGAGCCTGCAATGGGCTAAAGATTGAAATTGTATCTGTTCCTGGTGGCATTGGCAGTCAGTGGTACTCACAGTCCACTGGGAGAGACTGATGGTGATAAGGGTGCTGTTATGAGATGCTGTGGAGACACAGAGGAGAAGCAGCTAAGGCAGAGAGAGTCAGAAAAGGCATCCTGAAGAAAACATACATCTAAACCAAGATTTGAAGAAGAAATTTGAATTAGCCTGATAAAAAGGTAAAGAGAAAAGACTACCAGAAGCACTATAGGGAAACAGCCCTTAGATACGAGACATGCTGAGAAGGTCTAAAAGTAGATACGTGACTCAATTATCTAGTAAGACTTGGAGAGCCATTGCTGTCTGAATTTGTGAAGCTAAAGCCAATATCCGAAAAATGTAAGGGGTTTTTCTAGAGTTCATCCAACACTTCTCTCTTGTTCCTAATATCCTAAAATTCCAGGAAAGTTTATAAAGTATTTTGATATTATTTTCAGCCTAAAAGATCCCGGAGTAAGAAATTTATGGAAGTTTACAGAAGTTACAGGATGAATTAATCAGTGCACATCTGGCCTGTGGTACAGTGCAGGTGCATCAGAGATGTCAATCAAGGCAAGGTAGTGAAGGACAGCATGCAAGACAGGGGAAGATTAGAACTGCCATTTTTCTATTATCAAGATATGGGTAACAGTAATTATTTTTCCTTAGCATTGGTACACACATGGATATGTATATTATCATGTCTCTAAGTTTAGGATTACTTGTTCTATAAAAAAATACAAAATTATAGGAATGTAAAAAATTGGAATTAGAAATATCATTTTTACACTTGCTTTTTTGAAAAATACATACATTTTAATCTGAAGAGTTTATATAATTTAATTTTATTGTATCCCTAGCACACGGGGAGTTGGTTATTTTTTGTTGTAATAACTTCTTGGGCATTTTTTCAGTCTTGACTTTAAACTCAAATCAGCTCAAGGACTGTATTTCCTACTTTACATGGTTATCCTATGTCTTAGCATGATATTGAGTTCATGGTAAATCATTAAGAACTATTTTTAAATGAATAGATAAGAGAGCTACCAACTTTAATCAGAAATGGCCATGAAGAAGGTAGAGTTTCAGCCTGGCAGATATACCAGGGAAAGTGGTTATAAGTTTAGGAAAAAATGCAGGGCAAGACGTTAAATCGAGGACTTGGGGCTTTCAACCTTGGGTGATAAGTAGATTTTCATAGCTAAGTTGTTAGTTGTGCACACAGAATGATAGAAAACTGGATGGAGGGTTTGCTTGCTTTTATTAAAGTGATCAATGAGACCATAGTTTGTGCTGGAATTTTAGGGCCAATGGTGATGTTGTGGAGTCTATGGATGAAGAAGCTGGTTCTAAAATGAGGTTTGTAAAATTATGTAGGCAAGGCCAGCAAAAAGTATGAATCCTGTGTAAGAACCTCCTCAGCATAGCATTCATTTTTAAAGATCATGGCTTCCTGGCCAGACTGCCTGGGCTCACATCTCAGCTGTGTCACTTACCAGCTGTGTACCCTGGGGCAACACATTGTGGGCAGCCTCTCTATTCGTCATATTTCTTATGTGTAAAACAATGATAATCATATTTACCTGTTATACCAAAGATGAAATTAGTTAACACGCATTAAAATAACATGATGATTTTCATACACATAAAGTGCTTAATAAATGTTAACTTGTTATTTTATTACCTGGTTTATGGAACTTTAAATGGCCCTACCAATCCAGAAATCTCTGCCATGGATTACTCTTAGCTCCTGTATATCCCAAAATTCTCATCTTAGAAAATTTAAGTCAAAAAGAGGCAACACTCTAAAGAAAGATTTCCAAAGAGCCACTCTTATAATGCACATAAATTATGTGAAAAGGGAAAAAATTATTAAATTATTAAATTGTGGGCTTAGAAAGGTCTGAGCATCTTATCCAACCCCATCATTTTACCAATGAAGAAAGCAGGGTCTAGAGAAGAGAAAATAACCTCTCAAAGTTTAGTGTGGACCCAAAAGTTTCTACCTCCCAAATCTTTTTGATTGTTTTACTTTTCCATCAAACCTTCTTCCATTAATATAATTGCTAAGGTAGCAGTTCATTAATTGGCTGGTTGCTCAAAGGCCTCAAGAGAAGACCCTAGATAGCTGAAGAAAAGTAGAGAACACCCTTTCTGGCATCCAAGGAACAGCAAAACATTTTTTAACCAAGGAGCACCCCAGATAATAAAAGAGGAGATGGGAAGGAGGAGAAAAAGGGCAAAATTTGGGTAACTCAGAAGTTTTCTTCCATCATGTGAAAAGGTATGAGGTGCCAGATGGAGTGGCTCATTGCATTCCTTGGGTGTTTGGTTGAAAGGATAAAAACGAAAGAAGCAGGAATTCCAGACCATCTATTCTAGAACTTTACAGATGGAGAGAAGTAAACACCCAAAACCAATGAATGCTCTGAAGCATACCATAACTAGATAAAGAATTTAAATGTTGGCTACCCTCTTGATGGAAATTGGATCTTAGTGAAACTTTTTTTCTTTCTCTCAGCAAGATTGGATGTCATACAAGAAATGTCAAGTCATATATAGCTTTGTTCTGAGAAACCTGTGGGTCTTCAGGTTTTCGTTACAACAGTTAATAATGGTTTCCATGTGATTCCAGAATAGCATAACTGTAAGTAACGATCTAGGACATCTAAATGTTTTAACTCGGTGCTTTTAGCTTTTCTGCAATAGGCAAGCAATGTGTTTTACTGGTAAATTGTATTTTAATTTATGTTTATGCTTTGTCAATGACTTATTTTAAGACTAGTAGTGTTCATGATTAGAGAGATTCAAGACACCAGATTTTTGCTGTATAATTTTTTACATATACTCAAATGCCTTTAGACAAAACAAGAACCTAATTTAGCCACCCACCAGCCACAGAAGTATCTGGGGCACATAATATTTTTCCATGGTGGCCAGGGTGACTGCTTTTTGAGCTTGTTTATTTGATCTGGGAAGACATAACTCACAAACAGCATCTGGATTTCAGAGATTCCTATATTTGCCCCCAATTCTCCCTTTCAGTCAATGGTATCCAAATGACTCATCTGCAAGGTCAGAGAGTTGAGTTGCTCGGCAAGACTAAAATGCAAGACTCTCTGGCTCATTCCCTGTAACCACCAAACCCCACAATCTCTGGATGTGTAGCATGGGAACCTGCATGAAGTTTTGCCAAGACCACCAGGTTACTGGGGAAAAAACAGTCTTGACAAGGTTAAGAGTGACCCTGGAGAGGTGTAGAGCTTGTTTGTTTTATTTAAGGAGTTCCCTGTAAGAGCAGAGGCCGGGGTGGGGTGGGGTGGGGAGGAGAAACTTTTTTTTTTTTTTTTTCATCAAAAGGTGTGACTGAGAACTTGCAATTTTTGATGACATGTTTCTCCCTGAGAGACCTTCACTGTTGGCAGACACAGTTGAGACACTGATGAAAAGCTGTGGGGCATAGTTTTTTGAGGCCTCCAAGAGAAACCCCACAGTTTTAACTTAATCCAATTTCAGTGGGGTGAGTAGCTTGGAGCGAATGAAGAAATAAACAAGTAACGCTTCTTGAACACTAAAACCAGAATGAAACAAGGTTAGGCCATGACAGTTGACAGTGTCAGCTTGACCTGTAGCCTCTAATCAGCCTGAGAATTATGCCTTCCCTGGTTTTTACCTAGTCTCTTCATTTCTTTTACTGTACATACTTCTGGAAACAGTCCACTTGCCTAGCTTGAAGTACCTACCACTCTGATTTTTCGCAACAACAAATTGAATTCCATAGTTGATTTATCATATCAATATTGCATCATCAAGATATGCTTCAGCATAAAAGGAAGGGTCAAGGAACATAGAGACTTCTAACTGTCATTTTAGTAAATGCATAATAAGGCTAGAAAAAGAGAAGAAATATCTACTCATTTCTTGACCAAGTTTATTAGCTGGTGACTTCAGTTAACATTTAACTCCAGGTTTCTCTTACATTTTTAATGTTTTCTTTCTTTTGTTTTACATTTTTGATGTAAGAAAGAAGACTCCAGTTTTTTTGCACTGTGTGAAATCCAGCTCTAATTATGTCCGTATGACATCATAAATCCACTAAGAATTGGACAGTTTTATTATTTGGGCCTTAAAAGAACACCCAAAATAAAGGTTAATGCTTATATAATGGTAATTATATAAGGACATATCCTCAAAATGAACAAACAGAAAACCCCACATAATACTTAGGATTTTCCCTTCTTCTTATAAATGGGAAAAATTAATTGACATGTCACTAACTTCTAAGAAGGGAGCAAATATTTAAATCCCTGCTTCTTCTTCCATAGGCATAGGCTGCATTGCATTTCCTTGCTGTACTCACTTTTGCCTCTTTCTCTCTGTGACTTTTTCTCTGTATATTCCTCCCTCTTTTCTTCTCCTTCTCTACTCCCATAAATCCATATCTTTTGGCTCTAGGGCATAGTTTTATTGGCTTCTATTTTTCTGCCCTCAATAACAATGCTTCTCTTGTCTCTGTGTACATTATATTCTTGAGATAAAGAGCTTTCTTTGTAAACTTAAAATATATTTACTGTTACAGACAAGAAATATGCTCGATTTATGTATCCTACAGTTATGAAGAAATGTGCATAGTGTTCAGAAACGTAGTTAGAATTTCTCAAATTTCCCCTGTGCTTTTATGATGAAATTTTGTCTATCCTAAAAGCCATCTTTTGTAACAGCCATGGTCCAGCCCTGAAGGATAATACAGGCAAGGAAAAGTTAGAGGTGAATGTACCTAGTTTAATCTGTAAAGAAATCCCCTACCACAGTGTTTCCTTTCCAACACGAGTATTCATGATCAGAGGAGGCAGTGTTGAGGGTTGGATGAATCATAGTCTTTGGTATAGACAGACTAGACTTCAAACATTGGCACTGCTACTTACCAACTCTGAAATCATGGTTGAGATCATTTCTCTTTGCCTCAGTTTTCTTCTAATGCCTATCCTCTAATACTGTGGTGAAGATTAATGAGAAATTGCATGTGCAGTGTCAATACAATGCCTGTTACAGACTATGTGCTTTATGGAGCTGAAATATGATGGAAATTTTTTTTTCATTGATGGTAAAGAGCAACATGAAAACAGGTCATGCTAACTTAAATAGCACAACTTCTACAGGTTAACTTCAAGAGATAGGGTCTTGATTTCAATCTTAGCTGAATTATTTTCATTATTTTGATTATAGGCTCTGGCTTTGGAAGGCCTTACTCCATACAAGAAGTATTTTTTTGAATGAAGACAGTACCTACAGTGGTGACTATTTGGTTAATGGTAAAATACCACAGTCATCATAATGTACTAAGCATACTGGCATCCCAGTAGTGAACATCGGGGGTTCTATTTCATTGTTTCTATAACTTCACATGAAAAGCTAGCTGAGCTCATTGGAAAGCCTTGCTTACTAACCCAGAACGTCATCAATGTACCCCAGAAATCAGCATTATTCCTGTTTTCCAGGTTGTATGGATGCATTTAAGAACCACAGTTGAAGTTATAATGTGGCATCCAACACTTTTCTCATCAGCTCCAGATCCCTCAAGGGTTTGTATTTTTAAAGCTTGAATAGTCCACAAAATCACAAGTACTGATTACAGCTAATCCTTGCTAATCACCAGTGCTTTCATGGAAGTAGTGCTGCTACCCATCCTTGGATGTATTCACTACCATAGTTATTTTTTTCATGTCATGGAGCATTAAATGCTCCATATTTCCTGTCAAAACAAAGTGAACATCTCTTTGCCCCTTTTGGATTTAGCTATGAAATGGGTTCCAAAACAACTCCAGCTTATCACCTAATATTGAACAGATATTTTGGTGAAAACAGTGCTTATTGATTTCACTTCATATGCCCATTGCATTGGACTCAAGCAAAAGTTTGGTAGAGGTTCAGATTGATTAAGGAAGGAAATGCTAATCCAAGAGAACAGAAAAGAAATTATCACTGTCACTACCACTCTCACCATGAAGGCCCTGTTATTCCATCAGCCTTAGCTGACACTCTTTCCATTAAAGCTCTTTTCCAAGAGGGTCCTCATGCATACCTGCAATATAGTCTTTGCAACTGATATCTGTAATATAGTCATGTATCTGCTACACATGATTAGATGCATCTGAATCCCATCAAGAAACCTGATTAAGACTGAAGGTTGGACACTTATATCATTAGTTCCTTTGAAGAAGATGACTGAAGAAAGATATTTCAGACAAAGTTGATCTTTTTTTGATACTCATTGGTTCATTCATACTTGGCAAAAATATAATAAACTCTTCAATTAATAAAGTAGTAGAGAATTCAGCTCAATCTTTCCACTGGTGACAACTGGAAAAGCTGTACAACAAATGTGTTATAAAAGTTTGCCTGAAAGTATCAAAGTGCTAATAAGGTGGTTCTTCAAGGTGCAATAATTACACTTCTCAATTGAAAACATAGAAACCAGAAGAGTGTGAAATAATAAAGAAATAGTTGCCAACCTAAAATTCTATACCCAGAGAAAATAGCCTTTAAGACTAAAATAAAATAAAGCCATTTCAGACAAAAATAATTGTCTCTTGCTCACACACACTAAAGGGTTTCTTAGAGGGAAACCAATTTCCAAAGGAAGCTCAAAGAAGGAAGAAGGAAAGGTAGCAAAGTTAGTAGTAAATACAGTGATCAACATAACTTATTTGACTATCTAATTATAATAATGTTTCATGTGGGTGAAGACATGTAAACTATAAATACATATAATATACATACTAATAAAGGCATGCAAGTCAATAGTGAGGAAAATTAAAGAAAATCACTATGGTTTAAGGGAAAAGAGGTACATGTAAATTAATATTCAATGCATTTAAATCATTAAATGCATATTATAAACGCCAGAATGGTTGCAACTATAAGAATGGGGAGATTATGTCATATAAATACTAGCCAAAAGAAAGGTGATATATCAGACAAATTTATTCAATATCAAAAAATGTAGGTTATATAAGAAAAAAGTACTATAAAAGATAATGTTCTTATGATAAAATGTTTAATTCACAAGGAATGTATATATCAATTATAAGTTTTATGCACCAAGGAACATAGCCTCAAAATATATTTTAAACACTTAACAGAAAGTGAAATAGATGAGTTCATAATTATAGTGGGGAGATTTTAACACACTACTCTCAGCAAATAATCCATTAGAATCCATTAGTGGATTAGTGAATAACACAATAAATATTAAATAAATAAACACTGTAAATAAATATAGCAAGCAAAAAAAGCCAGTAAAGAAACTTTAGCATCTGGCTAGGAGCATCTGTGGTGGCTCACCTTTCTACCTATACGTGTGAGTGGGTGACCTGAGAGGAGTACGGTGAGCATATGAGGATGTGACATACTGGCTCACTCCTGAGAACAGGATCCTGTTAGATGGGCATGTGTAAGTTAATTTCAGCAAAATGCTCTGGGCAAGGGTAGAATGGGGTGGGGTGGGTTTAGTTTGCTTTGGAATTCTGGGGGCATGAGGGTATTTTTTAGATTCTAGGGTTTTATCTTGTTTCAAGAGTGGGACCAACCCAAGGGGGAGGACAAGATGTCATCCTTGGAAACCCTACAGGGGACAGTTTTTCCAAGGTGACCTGTCATTGGGGTATGAGTGGCTAGCTGCCACCTTCATGCCTGATTGCCACTGGTTTTTCATTGGCATCTCCCTTGGTTTGTCTCATTCTTCTTGGTTCAGTAGGTTTTAACTGGGGTAACCCTTCTGGTAGGAGTTCCAATTATTTTTGACTAGGGGATGGGGGAGAGTTGACATTTCTGGTCCTATAGGCCCTTTCTGGCCAGGAAGGCATTGGTGCAGGTGAGCCTGGGATGCCCTTGCCACCTGTGGCCAGAGTCTTGTTTTGTATCTGTAAATAAAAAGCTTGTTTGGAAGCAAACAAACAAATGAAAAGGTGTAGAATGTATGGATAACATGATTAACCAGTTTAACTAATTCACTAGAACATTGTGTCCAACCACTACTGAATACACATATTTTTGTGCACATATGGAAAATTAAGAAAAATTGATTGAAATGAGGAGTAACATAAAATATAAATTATATTGCATTCAATTGCTACAAATAAAAACGGAAATTAAATTTTAAAGATGGCATTTGTTATTTTCAAAATACCAAATTCCTAGGAATAAATCTAAATAAAGCCTCATAAGACCTCTACACAGAAATGTATCAAGGAATAGCACAAACATTAAAGTAAGCATAAATAAATAGAAACAAAAGGATGAATAATGTTGCATGTCAATTCTCCCCAAATTGATCTTAATGATTTAGTGGAATTCCCCCAACATCCTAAAGGAGTTTTTTGAATAATTTTGGTGGATCTTGACAAGTTGCTAAAATTTATATCAAAAGTTTAAGAAAGCCAGGGCTATACAAGGCCTAGGCAAGAGGATTGCATGAGCTCAGAAGTTCAAGGCCAGCCTGGACAACATAGCAAGACCTCATCCAAAAAAATCAACCAGGTGTAGTGGCATGTGTTTGTAATCTCAGCTACTCAGTAGGCTGAGTTGGGAAGATCTCTTAAGCCCAGAAGGTCGCCTAAGCCTGGAAGATCGCTTAAGCCCGGATCGAGGCTGCAGTGAGCTGTGATCATGTCACTGCACTGCAGGCTGGGAAACAGAGAACCTCTCTCAAAAAAAAAAAAAATAATAATAATAATAATAATAATAATAATTAAGGACATTAAATAGTAATAGTAATTAAGACAGCATGATATTTTCTCAAGGAATCAAAGATAACCAAGGGAAAAAAAGTAGAGTCTACATATGTGGACTATAGAGTTAAGACAAAGGTGGCACTATACAACCATGGAAAAACGATAATCTTTTTAATAAGTACTGCTGGGACAATTGGATACACGTGGACAAAATGAAACATTCTCTACGTCAGAGTACATGCAAATATGTATTTCAGGTGGATTGTAGATCTTTGTGAAAGGCAAAACAATAACGTTTCTACTGGAGAGTATATTCATTACCTAAGGGAAGGAAAGATTTCATAATCAGGACATAAAAATCATTATCCTTGAAAGAAATTATTAATAAATTGTACTATATTAGAACGAAAAATTCTATTTCTCAAATGACACCATTAAGAAAGTGGGAAAGGCAAGACACTAAGAGAGAGAAGACATTTACAATCCTTAAAACTGACAAAGGGCTCCTATCCGGAAGGTACAGAGAAGTTTTACGCATCAGTAAGATAGCCTATTTGATGAAAAACAGCCAAAGTCATACTTCACAAAGGAGGTTATACAAAGGGCCAATAAACATAAGAAAAAAAGCTCAACGTCACTGTCATCAGGGAAATGCAAATTAAAACCACAATGCGATACCATTACACACTTGCCAGAATGGCTAAAATGAAAAAGACTCACAATAACATTGCTGATGAGGATGTGGAACAACTGGAACTCATTGCTGGTGGAAGTGTGAAGCATATAACCACTTTGGAAAACTGGCAGTATCTGCTAAAACTGAGCATGTTCATACCTCATAATCCAGTAATTCCACTCCAACAGAAATGCAAGGACTTATGAACTAAAATACAAGTACAAGAATATTGATCACAGCACTATTCATCACAGCCCCCAAATAAAAACTGTTCAATGTCCCATTATGGTATATTCATCCCAGAGAAATCTAGTCATCTTTGAAAACAAATGAACTACAGCTTCACACACAGAGTAAATGATCTTAACAAATATATTGTTGAGTAGAAAAAGTCAGATATGAAAGAATATATACTGTATCACATGGTGTATATATGTGCATGTATATATATTATTATATAATATCTATATATTAATTTATAGACATATATATATTAAAACCAGGCAAAACTAAATGAGTAACGTAGTTTTAGTAGTCAGGATACTCACAGAAGAAATGACCAGATGTTTTCTAGATTATCAGATATCTCAAGGTTTCTTGAAGTAATTCAGAAAAATAAATCAATCTTGATCATTGAATGAATAAAAAATACTCTTTCACTTTGATAAAATCTAAAGTAGGTCGATAGATCTTTTCCCCAGAGGGAACTGTGCAAGCTTGGTCAGCAGGCTTAGGAAAAGAAAAGAGTGTGATAATACTTTTGTATCAAAGTATATGGCTCCAATTCTTGATTCTACCTTTTACTAGCTGTGAAATTATGAGCAAGTTACTTGGCTTTCTCTGTGTCTCAATAAATCTGTAAAAAGAGAATGATAACATTAACCTGACAGAATAAGACAAAGATGAATTAATTTATACAGTAAATTAAATGATGAAATGTAGGCAAAATCTGTGAAGCACCTAGGATTTAATAGGTACTTCAAAAGTAAGTGATAGGGCCAGGTGTGGTGGCTCATGCCTGTAATCCCAGCACTTTGGGAAGCCAAGGCAGACGGATCACGAGGTCAGGTGCTTGAGACTCAGCCTGGCCAACACAGTGAAACCCCATCTCTACTAAAAATACAAAAAAAAAAATTAGCCAGGTGTGGTGGCAGGCGCCTGTAGTCCCAGCTACTTGGGGGAGCTGAAGCAGGAGAATTGCTTGAACCCGGGAGGTGGATGTTACAGTGAGCCAAGATTGAGCCACTGCACTCCAACCTAGGCAACAGAGTGAGACTCCATCTGAAAAATAAATAAATAAATAAAGTGATAGAACTGTTATATACACTTGTGTGTTTTAACAGTTGAGTTCATGGAAAGGAAGAGAACTAATATTCTCTGAGTCCATTATGCTTCAGATACTATGTCAACCAGTTTTTACATTTCCATTTAATCCACAAAATAACACTGTTCAGTACAGATAATTCCTAATTGATCATATTAGAGAAGCATATGTTGGCCAGGTTAAGTAATTTGCTCAAGATCAGACAGCTAGTTTTGAAATAAAGGTCTCCCTGCTATAAATAATTTGAATGTCACATATATGGCAGTAAAATTTAACATTTTTTGCAATGTATCTGCCCTTCTGTTTTATATAATCAACTCCTCTCTCCACACTCCCTACTTTTTTCAGGATTAGGAAAATTCTTGGACTCCATTTCTTCACTTGGTGTTACATTTCTTGCCTAATCAGTATCTGAGTAGCGAATCTCTCCCTAACCCTCAATGAGTTCCTTATGGATCTCTACCTACAATTAGATCAACAGGTGAAATTGATAGAAGAAGACATTCTACTAGTGGCTTTTTATATGTTCCCCTCTAGGGAATGAGGGTATATGGCTTTACACCTTAGAGAAGTTACATTTATCTGTCCCTGAGTCACCACTACCCCTCCTGACACACATCTCTTTGTTGTTAGGGGATTGATTTAAATTCACCTCTAAGTTCAGTTGAAAGCTTGAACAATAGTGAAGTGCAAGTATCCCCAGGACCCCACCAAGGAGCCAAATTCAAAGAAACAGAAACCAAGACCAAAAGCCATGGCGTAGAGAGTCCTTTTCATTTCTATGAGATCAAAAGAAATGCAGTATTTTGCTTCTATGAGAAGTAAGGAATGCAAGCTTGAGGGAGCAAACTCTATAAAGTGTTCAGAGCTGTCCCAGTGGTGAGGTAAAAGGGAAAGCAATTATGGCATCCGCTCCTTGGCTGAGGTTGCTCTCCAGAAAAGGCTGCCCGGTCCTCCTGTGGAGAGAGAAAGGAGGAGTGAGCGCTCATATCTTACAAGCATAACCCTAGTGGAGACTGACGCAGAGCTGTAAAAATGAATGCCCTAATTTTGGCTTCTTGAAGTTCCTAAAATTTCTGAGTGTGGAAAGTGTGAGATGTCCACCTCTCTAGCTTTCAGTCTCTGCAAAATTGGATATATTATGCCATTTATCACCCAAATTCCATAATTACTTTTTAACTTAAAATAATCAGCAAGGTTGTCTTGATATAGTTGAAGATGCTGGGGACCAAATTAGTATTAGCTCTACCTTGCTTTGCCACATCATCATAATCAAAACCTGTAGATATTCAGGTAGCTTAAACAAAGTAGACCCCAGAATATGACATTTTCAAAATAAATAGGTCAGTGGATAATTATTTATTTCACAAAAGTTTTTGTTTTTCTAAAGCATCCACCTTAGGATTTCTTTGTGAAACAGCAGAGCTCTCTGGTGCATTTTAAGTATGACTCAAACAAATTTTTTTTTTACACTAGAAAGTCAAACCAAGCGAAATATCAAGTCAGGTCAGGTTGGGTTTGGAGAGCATTTTGATGTTCTGGTTTTGTTCCATTTCAATTGCTTTAGAAAAATTTATAATGTCAGTCACAGCTTAAACTGACTCACAGAGGCTTTTTGGAGGGAGGGTGGTTGAGACTTGGGGAGACCTGTGGTTTGTTCACAGTGCCATAGAAAAGAACAATTTAGGGGTTTAATTTCTTTTAGGCTTGAATCTATTAATGGAATTCCTCCTGCTCTTTAGTTCATAGTTTTATTTTGGCTAAAACTCTTGATTTACATGTAATCTTTCATAAAAGAAAATGTCTTTGCCTAAAATGAGGTAAATCTGAAACACAAATGGATTCTTTTGCCTCTGTAAAAGTAGAAGCCAACAAAAAAATGCAATTTTTATAATGATATTAGGTATAACGTGTGGTGCTACTTTTGATCTTTTTCTCTAAACTGAACAACTCAATTGCCATAAGCATTTACCCATAATTCTTATCTTTGATTTCTTCTGTCTTTTGGTAGTTTTCCTCTAAGTCATCTTTAACTTCTCCATCTTTAAGTGGAAATCAAATCTGCACTTACTACATTAGTAAAGCACTGGCTATTTCTGAGTAAATTTTTAAAGAGTCCATTTTTTTCATCTCTCTCAGTTCAATCCTATGCGATCAGCTATCTCACTGTTTCCTTTTTCTTTTCCTGTCTTTTTTGAAAAGGTAATACAACATATGCTTTACTTACCAAGACATTTTTCAGTTAGCTTGTGTCAATTGGTCTTTACTTATTTTACAGTTTATTCCTTGGGTTAAGTTCTTGTATTTTTTCCTATTAACCATCATTCCACTATTAACCATGTATTTCTCTTTTTTAAAAAACAATCTTTCAAGATATTATGATAATTGTCTTAATACAGCATGATCCAGATGTCTTTTGAGCTAATCTCTATGTTCATTATTCATGTCACTGGAAAGAATATGGAATAACAACAGCCCCTAAGGTCCACAGTGATAAGCCCCTGTTCCATCTTCCCCAGTCACAGACCATCTTTGTTAAATGAAGGAAACTAAGAGTGTTATGCTGAAGAGCATGGATTTTGAAGCCAGTCAACCTGGTTTGAATCTCAGTCCTACTGCATATTTGTCCTGTGACCTTGGGAAATTTCCTTAACCTGTTCAAAGCCTGTTTCTGTGTCTTTAACTTAGGGATTGCTGAGTTACTGTGATGAACAAATGTCATCTCTATGGAAACTGTTTAGTGAAGACCCTAATACATAGTAGTCTTCAACCCTATTTTTGTTATTTATTGTCTTCTTTTTGTTGTGCAAAGTGTTATGTTGTGAGAATCTGTAGGTCTGTCAGAGAGGAGGGCTTGAGAAAGGTAAGGCTGAAAGAGAATGAAACTGACATGCAGCAATTCCCAGTGTGTCTCCAGGGGCAGTCTTCCTACACACTGATATTTAGCGTATAGAAAATCCCTTTATTCAACCAGAGGCATGACTTAATAGCAATGAGAAATTCTCTGGGACACATGAGCAGAGAAGTCTGTCTCTGAAATTTCTGGGAGGTTTTCAAGTCCTCTGCTGCTCCAAAAGGTGCATTTGTTTTTTTTTTTTTTTTACACTGCCTAACCAAAGTCAGTATGTGGAACACGAGACAGCATTGTTATGATCATCATCATTTAAAAGCATTAATTCATGGTCTATTTTCAAATAGTGGCATGCTAGACTCTACCCTCTGAGAGCTTTAATATAGAGCACAACTGATCTACACTAAAAAGAAAAAGAGAAAAACCCAAACAAGAACAACATTGCTGGAGTAGTTGGCGGAGATTATAAAACAGTGTGCATGCTCCTCTTGAGTGGTTTGGGGAGGTAGTGGAGGAAGTATAAACAAAGATACCCATAAGAATCTATAGTTCAATAAAGCAAACTATCTTTTTGACATAAAATATTTTAAAAAGGTGACAATCGAGTTGTCCTCCTTCATACTAGCTAATTTTTGTATTTTTGGAGAGATAGGATTTCACCATGTTGCCCATGCTCCTGCTCATGCACAGCCTTTACTTAATGTAAGCATGTGATTTCCTGGCACCATCAACATTAGGTAAAGGCTGTGTGTGTGCAGGAGCATGAATCTCAACACAAATTGTTATCCCTTAGAATGAAGCCCGAGTGGTTTTTGTGAATTTAATCAGAATCTCCAACCAAAACTACTTACCATTTTGGAAAACATAGTGGTATTTCGAATCCAATTTAACAAATATACTAATTACTATAAAAAACATTCTTTGGTCATGGCAGAGACTCTTCAAGGTAAATTCTCAGACAACTGAACTTAGATAATATTTACTTGGTCAGGCATGGTGGCTCACGCCTGTAATCCCAGCACTGTGGGAGGCTGAGGCAGGCAGGCGGTTTGAGCTCAGGAGTTTGAGACCAGCCTGGGCAACATGGCAAAACCCCATCTCTCCAAAAATACAAAAATTAGCTGGGCATGGTGGCACATGCCTGTAGTCCCAGGTACTTGAGAGGCTGAGGCAGGAGGATCACTTGAGCCCAGGAGGTCAGGGCTGCAATGAGCTGTGATCACCACTGTACTCCAGCCTGGGCAACAGAGTGAGACCCTGCCTCAAAAAAATTTTTTTCTTACTATCACCAGGTGAAGTTTGCTTATGGTAGTTATGGTTTTGGAGCCCTTAGAGGTTACTTGTTCAGGCGTTTGGTTAATGTGCTCCGTTACTCTCTAAACCCCGCCCCACCATCTCCAATCCAGGACTTCACTCAGAAGGATTTTAATTCAAATTCTATTTTAATGTAAAAGGGATTTTAATTTAAATCCTTTTTATTGTTTAACGAGAAGAGAAATACCATCAACTCCACCTCTCATTTTACTGTAGGAAAGTAGAATTGTAGAAAAGTGAATATGCATACCCCATCTTTTATAGACATCATATGGCCTTGTACTAAATTCTTTTGTTATTCTCAACACTTTGATGTTACTTTTGAGAGGGGGCCTCATTTTCTTTTCCTAGACTATGTTATGACATCTTACATCTCTGTGCTTCTGTCCATATACTTCCACAGTCCTGGGATGCCTTTCTCCCCTTTCTATTTGTTGACATCCTACTTGTAATTTATACTGAAAAATAAATGTGTCCTTTTAGAGAGAGCACTCTGTGACCCTTCCAATTTTTCCTCGCTGAGCAGAACTAACAGGTTTCTACTAGGCAATCCTATTACACTTTGTTTATATACCTGTCTTACTTGTAT
Organism: Homo sapiens; assembly: GCF_000001405.40. Taxonomy (NCBI): domain Eukaryota; kingdom Metazoa; phylum Chordata; class Mammalia; order Primates; family Hominidae; genus Homo; species Homo sapiens. The sequence continues at coordinate 28,986,768 of NC_000012.12, forward strand.
ATTTAATGTTACTTGTGCAACTAGTGCAGTAGGGACACTCATGGGCACTAGTGGCACCTCAAGCCAGAGACCTGTGGATGAGGTCCCCTGTGGCTCAGCGGTGACAAAAGCGTCAGCAAATTTTGACAAAGCCGTGAGGCACTAACACAGCAGATTGAAATAGGAGAGAAGAAAATGGTAAATGGTGTTGGCAATATGGCAGCCAATGATAGTCACTCATAAGACATCTTCTGGGTACCAATGAGTAATTTAAAAGGAAAGAAAGCCAAAGAAAAACTCCTTTATGAGAATCATTTTGATCCTATTTCAACTCCCAGAAAATACTGTGTATATGTTTAAATTGATTTTTCCGATAAAATTGCAATTCTTGAAGATAAGAAGCAAATCTTATTAATGTTTTTCCCTTCTAAGTCTTGATTTTGCACATTAGAAGCTGCTTAGAAAAATCTCTACTGAATTAAATTATTTTAATCATCTTCTTGGATATTAGCCTGTTTAGAATATTATCGAAACTTTCTTATGATGAATGAAATTCATCGTAAGAAAAAAATCAATGGTTGTTTTCAATATTTCCCAGAGTTTGGAAAGTGCTTTGGCTTACATGCTGGGCAAACCAGAAGACGAGCACATTTGAGGTTTCACTACTCTTTCTTCCTGTGTACTGATTAACTAATTTCCTATTGTCAATTTCTTGTCCTTTCTCCCAAAATTGCTTTCAGAAAATGTAGATGTTTTTGGCATGGTTCTTGGTACACAGAACTTTTCTGTTCAGCTCTAAGTATACCAATTACTTCATTAAATAATAATAATGATAATATCCCCAATTTATATATCACTTTACACTTACAATGCATAAAAACGTACCCTCTCATGTGATTCTCAAACCAACCCTCTTGAAATAAGCAGGGTAAGTATTACTAAACCATTATCTATGTGGAATATGAGATCATCAGAAGCCAGTAAGTCAGAGTTCAGACTAGGTCTTCTGTTTCCATATTTGTATTATTTTCACTGCACCAGAATAAGTAACGTCCTGGTACTTTTCCTCAAACTTTGCTCTGGAAACATCTAGGAAGCACTTGTAAGCTCAGGTTCCCTATTCACCACCATTCTCTCTCTTTCTCCACCGCATTGCTTCAAACTCTGCCCTTTGCAGATTTTGACCTCTGAGTATCTCTGAACTTACATAATGTATTTGTTCTTCCCAGGGTAACCAAGTGAAATATAACAAACAGAAGGAACAGCAGAATGGGCAAACCTATTAAATCATCTATTCCCAAGAACAATGGTTCATAGAAATTGGAGATTAAAAAGACCTATGAGGTCATCTTCTCCACCCCATGCCAAAGCAGGTTTAAGCTCAGAATACTGACAGGCAAGTTGTCGTTGACTTTCTAGCGCTGACTTTTGAGGCTTTAGACTGTATCTGCTGCTGAAATCTGCTTGTGGGGAAACAGCAAAGTGACCACAAATCTGGAGCATTAACTGGGGTCCCAAGGGCCTCATTGCTCTGTGCAGAGGACAGTATTTCTGTAATTTATCAGTTCTTCCCTAATGGATGTTGTCCTAATCAGGAGTAATTCCCACAGAGGCTTTTACAGGCAAACTGGCTGAGAATGAAAATCCAAACGGGTTTTAAAAAAAAAGCACACAAGCTTATATCTTTTCTGAAGTCAGATATGACCAAGGGGAATGTCATGATACATGCAGAGGGTTTGAGTGATGAGGAAATATGCCAAAACTAATGCCGTGGTTCTTTCTCCATCACTTCCTAATTAATCTCTGAGGCAGAACAGTCAGCCAGTTGGAGTGCTGAAATATACTAGAGGTCCCTGAGTATACCCTAAAATCATCACTATTGGAAGAACATCATCAACATATGGAAACATCTTTTACATCCATCTTCTGTCTTTAATCCTGTTCTTGTTTGAAAGAAGCCTTCATTCTATACTCCATGAAAAACATTACTGAAAGAAAACTGATGCATGACTTTAAAGCAAATGAAAATGAATACTATGCTGGGAGTTTTAAAAAATGGATAATAACCAAGTTCCTATCAAATCACTCATTAGCTATGTAACCAGGGGCACGTTACCTCCCTCACTCTCCTACAAAATAAGAGCATATTGCCCCTAAGGTGTTTTCTATTTCTCCAACTTATAAAAGAACTTAAAATAACTATTTATTTTAAGCAAAGCCTGTGGAAAAATGACTCCCCCCTTTTTCTGATTTGCCAAGATGCCCTCAACCTGACCCTGGGAGGAGGACTTGGAATTTTAAAAGAATGGACTTTCCTTTTATGCTTCAGCTTTTGGAGCTCGGTTACGTTAGTGTCATTTATGGAGTGAGATGCTGGAAAGCAAACAGTAAGTTTAGAAAGTAGGATGCCCTTTATGAGTCTGAATTCTTGCAGAAACTTTGGGCAGAAACTGGCTTCCAAAAAGCAGCACACTCACTACCACTTTCTCTCTCACTCTCCCTTCCTTTCCAGGCCCCCAGCAAGTCACCTGTGTACTGCCTTTAAGAAACACTTTTCTCTTTTATACCCCATGAGCACTTAAGAAACTCTTGGTCAAACTCTTTTCGTACCGGAAAATTCGTTGTTTCACTGTGGCCTCAGTAGCAATAGAGACTTATCTCTTTAGCTAATTAATCTTTGTCCAAAATCGTATATCTAGATTCAGCTTTATTTAGGGGACAAGTTGTAATTCTTCCTTCTTCTTACTTGTCCCTGTTTCCTTTTCTATTCTCTGAGCCATCTTTTCCTGTTGACAAATTGCCCCAGTCCTCCCTGAGGACTCGCCTCCAATCCTCCCCCAATGTCAAGCACTTCATCCATCTTTGTATTCTCTCCCTTTGCCCCATTTCTATGGCCTTACTGTCCTTTGACCGTTTGTCAGAAGATATTTAGTAAAGTACCAGTATACAGCAAGCCTTAGGAATTTCAGGGGAAATTTACCTGCTCCGGGCCTCAATTGCTCTAGTCCTGAGTCATCAGGTACAGCATATGGTCTGCTTGTCTCCTCCCTCAACAACAGTTGATACAATAATAAATTTGCCTGCACAGATTTTTTATTGCTCTCACTTGTTTTTATTAACAATAAAAAAGGACAGAAAATTGAGAATAAGAGAAAAAAGGTGACGATAGAAAAATTGAGTAGACGTATTCTCAGGTCATCTTTGAACAAATTAAGAGAAGCTGAACCACAGCCAGGCACGGTGGCTCACGCCTGTAATCCCAGCACTTTGGGAGGCCAAGGTAGGCAGATTGCCTGAGATCAGGGATTCCAGATCAGCCTGGACAACATGGCAAAACCCTGTCGCTACTAAATATACAAAAAAAAAAAAAAAAAATGAGCTGGGCGTGGTGGCACACTCTTGTAATCCCAGTTACTGGGGAGGCTGAGACACGAGAATTGCTTGAACCTGGTAAGCAGAGGTTGCAGTGAGCCGAGATGGCACCACTGCACTCTAGCCTGGGTGTCAGAGTGAGACTATTTCCCCTCACCATCCCCCCCACAGAAAAGTATAACTCATCCTTTACCTGAATCCCTGAATTTGCTTGGCATAAAAAGTCCTCACATAATTGGATGAGAGTGAACTCATTGCTTATTGGGTTATTGGGTAGCACTAAGGCAATATAACTCTTATGTGAGAATAGAGTCAGGACATGATAGCCTCTGATTACAAAGATGGTCATCTATCCCAATGCCTAATTTACTGAGAGATATGTTTGGAAGATCTGAGAAAGTGAAAGCTAACACAATTAATGATGGGATCCGAAGAAAAATATCAGCAAAGCATCCCGGTTCTGTGCTGCAAATGCCCTTGGTATCTCTGCTAGATCTGTTACTTTCTTAGCACGATTTATTAAATAGAGGTGAAAGCACAATTACCCATTGATCAATGGCAATGAGAATTGAACTCTAATTCCCTTCAGATCCTCTTCTTTATAGCTGCTTGGATTGACTGACTTAATCAAGTGGATGTTTATGGATTAAAAGTGAGAAATGAGTTTTTTCTTTTGTTTTGTTATTTAATTTGAGCTTTTACATTTGAATATTTAAGAAAAAAGGAAAAATTAGGCAAGTAGTACATCACTAACCACACACACACGCACACACGCACACACACACAGAGGTTGATCAGACTCTACTTGCTATTTATTCATAGTGTGATCATCTCTGGACCAGAAGCATGGACCTCAATTGGAAACTTGTTAGAAATGTAGAATCTTGAGCTCCACCTTAGACTTATAGGCTCACAATCTGCATTTTAGCATGAGGCCTGGGTGAGTTGTTGAAGCACTGTCCTCTAGCCATTCCTAAAAGGAGCAGAGGGAGCAAAATCTAATGGGAGAGAAGGAAGGCATATAATTGGGAAGAGAAAGGTGAATGCTGAAGTGCATTTCCGATCCCTGTTTTCAGCCTATGTCAAGCAGACCAACTCTTCCTTTAAAAAGTTGTAAAGTAGGACAATAATCAACACACTGCACTTTGTTGTTTTTAAGGCATCTTAGAAATTCTATCTGAAACTCAAATGGGTGCCTCCAGCAGAATTATGGTATTTTACACACAACTGTAAAAATCACCCAGGAAGGTTTTCCTCAGGCAGTATAACTGGGTCTCACATTATGGTATCCGGTCCAATCAGTGCTGTTTTTCTAAAAATAAAATAAACTTTTTATTAAAAATAAGCATAACCATAAATACACAATGTTCTCTAGTTGCTAATTGAAACAACAATGCACAATTTAGTGTAAAATGAAAAAGAAATACCTTTTGGTATCTTTTTCACTAAATAGTTTTCAATTGCTGTTTAATCTAATTGCTTTATATCCATAGAAACAAAACTTACCACAAGCCTTTCCTTAAAGTCAAAATAGCCTTACAGGGATATAGGACTTCAGCAGCATTTTGAAGCTTAAGCACAATTTGGCAGACCACTTTCTTCTACTTTAAAGCAATACCTACGTGCAAACCATTCATTGTACACTCACAGCACTTCAAATATCTTAAATGCTCCCTCCTGTTTCTGCTGGGCCTTTGATAGTGAGACAATTAGCTTTTTGATACAACCCCTATCATAAAAGAAGGCCTCCTCTTTACAATTCACCCATCCAGTGGGCACCAAGATTCTCTGATGAAACTAGACATGCTGTCTCTCCTTTTTCCCTCCGAGACTCTGAGCTTACCTTGAGATTTTCCTCAGAATTGATTTTTACACCAACTTAAATAAGTGTCTATACACTTTCCTTGCTTTTCCAGATACTTAACAGATCTACTTTTAATGAAAGGTGACAGACCATTTTCCTCTTTTGAACGTTTGTTTTTAAAAGAAAATAGGCTTTTACATCAACCTACACAGTAGTTTTTCCACATGAAGACAAGGCTTGTTTGTTTGAAGAAGTCTCTGCTGGTTGTGCCTATTGAGATGGCAAATTACAAAGAAATGATTTGAGTATGTTCTACTTTATTTCAACATAATGATTTGCTTGTAAAATACATGAGAGGAAGAAAAATTCATGAGGATATTTTCAAGATCAGAGAACTAACTCAGAAGTAGGATTGGGATCATCTCGCCTGAAGATAAAAGTTCTTAACCATATGAAGGTTAGAAATACGGCTTCCAGAGTTTACTGCCTTGGTTCAAAGCCTGCCTTCACCAAAACTATGTTGGCAAATTGGGCAAATGACTTATCTGTGCCTTGGTTTCCCCATCAGAATAATTTTTAAAAAACTACTTATTAGTGTTGTCATGAAGATTGAGTTAATATGCACAAAACACCTTAAAATACTTAACATATAGCAAGCACCATATAAATAATCACTATTATTAGATGTAGTCTACCAGGTGGTAAAAATGAACAATTTTCCTAACATACTCAATACTATCCTTGCTTTCACCATAATTCTAGGCTTTGTGTAATCTACTTTACTTTTTTTTAAATTTGACATTCTTGCCCTCAAGGAGTTTGAAGAATTTTAATTATCCCCCCAGCAGTTATTCTGGTAATATATGCATTCACCCTTTCTGGAATATGGAGAAACTGAGGAACTAACAGTATATCTGACTTAATTATGGGGCAAAAAATGCCAAGCCTTCTGCCCAACTCTTTTGACGCTAAGCCAAATGTTCTTTCAACTAAAATACACTTCTTTAAAACTAGTTCTAATCTGTTTTGACCTCGGAAGTTCTGAGAACCTTCGGTTTTCAGCTTTTCCATCTTTTGGATGTGGCCACCAATAAACATTCATTCCCACTACTGGAAATCGCCAAAAACACTTAAAAAGAGTTGAAGGAAGCTTGTGTGTGGCTAGGAGGGCCTGAACAAAATCAATCCTCTTGACATAAATCAGAAGCATTCTCAGTCTTTCATTTCCCTATTTATTCATAAGAAGGTGGCCAAAGCGTAAGAAGGTGGTCGGAGCTTACTATACAGCTGGAAAAATGAATCTTTGAGAAGTGAAGGGACAAGACCTACATTGTCATCTAAGAAAACTAACAGGATGGAAAAAGAGAAGTGTCTTTATTCTCTCTGGGGATTCTTTGATTACTGGAAGAATTGAATTGCTAGGTGGCCGCACTGCTTTGGGCCTCTTATTCTCTCTCCAAGGCAATTGTTCTCTGCAGCATAATCTGCAGGCCCCCTAAGTCAACCTCAGCAAGTGGATGATACCCAAGAAAGGTTATTGTTCCCCCCAAATCCCTCAAAATCTTGGTGCTTCTGTGAACTGTATTCAAACTTCTGCCTTTCATGAATGGAGCTGGAAATCTCGTGAGAACATGTTTCCTGGAGGTTATTTTTGAGACTTCTTGCTTCTGGTCTCAGCCACCAGAAGAGATAAAAGCAGGAACTCGATTGAAGAGGAAAGGAGAGGAACATGCAGTTGGGGGAACGTTTCCATTCTTAGTCATTGATCCAATTAATATCTGGAGTAGAGGCTTCAGTTGGTTCAGGTTGAATCTGAAACCATTCTATTGCAATATCATATATCAGGAACTGTACTTTGTAATCGGGCCCTGAAAAGTACAGCCAGCTATTCCCTGGTGCACTGCTCAGAGCTGAAATACTTGAGCAGGGAGGTGAGGCCTGTGCTCTGTCCAGGGTCTGGATGACTCCTGCTTTGTTTCCAGGCTGTGGCGCTGCACCCTGATCTTTGTGCTTCCTTGTCTGTACAAACACCACAACCGTTTGAAAAATGGGTATCTGCCTACTTGTGAATTTGTGGATGGCAAATTCACAGTGTGGGGAGGGAGGCAGCACTGTCAGTTTGGACTTACCCAAACACCTCAAAGTATGTTTCAAATGGCGCTGGGTTCGGCAAAACCCTAAAGTATGTTTGGTCTGCTTTTCTGTCTCCTTTTTCAAGGGAAATTTAACCCATATGTTTCTGACACATTTACACTTAATTCACCAAAACATTGTTTTATGAAACCACTGGATGTCCAGGGCTCTTTAAGAGTTCTTTTCATGGAACTTTTTCAAGCTTTTTTTTTTTTTTTTTTCTTAGAAACAGGAAGTCACATTTGTGCCGAAAGTTAAAAGAACCCAAACCTTAAAAAAAAATTTGGAATTCTATCAGGAGTTCCAAATCCAGAGATTTCCAGGGGGTTCTAAACTTGGCAAACCATTTCATGTTTTGCAAGCAGAAGGCCTATAAACAGAATCAAGCGTTAGGCTCCACATTCAAGCTGTGAGCACACCCTCTTCTATCTTACATTACGAGAGATATAAAATGCACTCAGTGAGGGAATTATAATGATTATGCTGCACATAAAAGAAAACCTTAAGTGCTTTGGTGGGACCATCAAAACCTGTGCAGGAAGATCTGAGTTTCATCCATGCCTTGGGGTAGATTTGACTGTTTCAGGTACTAAGTAAATTATAGGCTCCCCAGTACTCTAAGTCCTGACTTTTTGAAAATAGAATGTGAGAGATTTGGGCCAAAGGTGTTTTGTTGCTGCAGAGCTCAAAATGAAAACCAAGGCCAGGAGCTTCAGTTGCAAAACCTGGGGTTTATGGCTGCAAGGGGGAAGAACAGGCTTTTTCCTCCCAGGACTATAATTACTATTACTTTACATTAGGGTCTTGCCAACGGTACTGCTCCCAGGCCCGGCCTTCTTGCCCTCTTACTGAATGCTTTATTTTTCTGCCCAGGGTCTCTAACTTAAGTGCATTACAGCCAAGTTTAGTCATCTGATTTCTCCCAAGATTCATCAGTCCTCTGCCAGCATTGTACTTTAAGAATCTCATAAAAGCTACCTTCCTTTTACTGTATAAATATGACTTCTACAGTCACTCAAAATTAAACATTTTTCATAATGATACAACACAACCATGTTTTTATTTTCAAGCCTTGGGAAATCTACTCTCCTCTTAGGCCCAAAATGAAGGAGAATCTATATCTCATGTGCCCTGGCTTCTCAACCCAATGACTTGAGCAGAAATCCTCACTCCAACTTCATCTTCATGTCTATGATGAACCCATGAAAGGTGGACAGAGACCTGGAATGAGCTACCTAAGGTGACCAGTGAGGGCTCTGAAGTTTCTTAGAGCTCACTCCACTGATTACTCCTGCAGCTTTAGAGGTAGCTCTTCCCCAGGCAGCAAGGAACTATCCTTTATTTTTAGGATACAGTGCTACCGGTACCTCCTATGACAGGAAGCAACTTCCCCTTTGCTGTGTCTCATCCTCACGTGGGTGCTCAGAAATATATGTATTGTCCACAGGGTGCTTCTCCATCCATCAGAAACCATAAATTTCCATGTGCATCCTCCTATTCAGAGCATGAGTGATGGGCGCCTTCCTTCGTGGCCAGGGACAGCATCAACCTCTTTGTCAACATCATTCCTCATGTCCTCCAAAACTTGAATGCTCTAAAACAACCCCAGGACTACATGCATGCTCTGAGTACTTATTTAGGGATGTGCATATGTATATAACTTGACACACATGCCACACATATATATACATAAACATATATCTTATATCACCACATCCACATTGCGGAAGCCACTGGCTGGGGAGGCAGCACTAGTAATGGGGAATGCTAAAGACGGTGCTCAGTTTTCTCTCTTGGCTTCACTCCCCACACACAGGGCCCCAGTGACTGCAGATGGAGAGGAAAGGCCCCCTTCTAAGACTCGAGGCACCTTCCTGTTTGCTTGGCTGCATTTTCACAATCTTTCTGAAAAATCAACGGTCTCCCTTTCAGCCTCCCTGGGGGAAGGCTCCAGCAGTCCATGGGAGTACTGTGTACAAGGTCTGTGAAATGAAAAAATTCACAAGAAAACAGCTTTGGCCCAAGCTGCTTTCTGTTAACCTTGGGTATGCTCTTCTGATTTGAAAGTCGGAAAAAAGAAATGCCATATTGTTTCCTCTCAACTTCTCTTACCTTGCTTGGCATAGAGTCGGCTAGTTTAGACCACCTATCATGCAGACCTGCCTCGGAAGAAAAGGCTCTCTGATGACAAGAAAATCCAGAAATTTGTGAAGCAAGAATGCTCTTTAATGGAAATACAAAGGATACTTTATAATTTACAAACTTCTTTATTCTACCTGGTCCCTTATTTCAATCTAATTGGCAATATCTCTGTTCCAAATTTTAGATCTTGAGCTCAGAGTTAACAGTTATTTTCTGTATGATTCTAAAAGGGTGAACTCTTTAAATGATTATTGCTTTTCTAGCTCAGGTCCTGGATGTTATAAGCTGTGTGCCCAGAGACTCTTCAAGGTTATTCTGGTGTTCTATGCTATTCAAGCTTCCATATCCAGAAAACTATCTAACCATGTTATGATAAAGCAGTGCCAAGAATGAACAGAAATTGTTCTCTGGCTTGTCTAAATGTGTATAAGCCATGCATAGAGATAGTTCCTCTTGTCACTGTCACTTATATCTCCATTTAAACAATTTTCCTTATTCTGTGCCTCTGATGATTGAGAAGTTTAAGTTTTCTGTGCTTAATCTATTTCAAATTTCAAGATAGAGTACCCAATTCTTTCAGGCTCATTTTCATCTGAGAAGTTTCTATTTCATTTCATAAAGGCATGTGTTTGCCATTTAGCCGATTTCACTTGGCCCAGAGCACCACCGAAGTCCTCCTGGTGATGCAATGTCACAAAGCATGAGTCCAAACCTAGTTGTGTCAGACGACATAGGAGGGTTCGGTTCAGACTTGCTGACTGCACTTACTGAGAAAAACCCACATAGGCATTTTCCAGAAATACTGACAATTAGCTTAAATTGAACAGAGGATAAGGCTAAGCTCTCCGAGTATTACATATCCATTTCCTTGGTTAGTCAATTAAATAATTAATAGAGTGGTGCAGACGCGGTTGCCTCGACTCTTAGTAGCCCACGTCTTAAAGGCCTTCCCACCTACAGTTATTTAGCCATGATGATGGCTCATGCAGTAGTTGAAATCTAGCCAAAAAGACTTACTCTACATACCACCCAAGCAGAGTCCCAGAATCCAGGCCATGGGTGGAACTCCAGAACATGAACTTCCGAGGGTGGGGTTTTCTGAGATAAAAGCAGCAGAGACTGGTGTTGGCAATTTAATGTCATTAGAACCAAACCACAGAGACAGACATTGCTGCCTACTTCTCTCCCACTGGGGTGGAAAATTGCTGTCAGGCCTATAGGTTGGTGGGTATTTAATTGACTTCTGACTGAACTAGTCAAACCTGAGCCAGTAGGAGTGTCTGCTCTACTCCCAGGATTTGGCTTGTGGTCTTGTTCCTGACTTTTGAAATTCATAACATTAAACCACTTGGGGCTGGGGGGACATGATTCCTTGAAAAGCCTACCAGCTAATCTAGCAAGACCCATACAGATTTCCTGCCAAAAGACCTCAAGCATCTAAAGCCAATGCTGGAGTGAGTGAAAATAAAAATTACAATATCGGTGGGACCTAGTTACTTAATGATAAGTACACATAAGGAAAAAATGTGAATGGATCTATTTGCATTACCATCAACCACTCACTTGGCAAACCTGAGTCCATTGCTTGCCTACTCTATGCTGTTGTACTTCAGTCTCTACATTGAAAACAATGATTTCTACTCAAAGGAGTGCCAAATGGTTAAGCAGACCAAGAACCTCCAAGTGAAAAGACTGAATTTGATTGGTCACCTTGACGATGTGCTTTCCGTTAGCGCTCTGGTCTTAAAAGCATAGTACTGAACCTGATATTCAGCATCCCATTATTGTCAATTTTTTTCCTTTGTTCCTGATTGTACACAACAGGGAAGCAGGTGACTAGTTCTTGCGTTTACCTGATTTTGTCCTGAAGGACATTACCCTCTCTTGATTTCTTCTGATGAAGATAAGTATCCTGTTGAAGATCATTCCAGAGTTGGAGTGACTTACTTTTTAATGAAATAATTCTTGTTTAAACTTTAGCAGGATTTTTCATTGAGGAGACCCTGTTTAAAGCTCCACTTTAGTTTCCAAACAACTTTCTAGCAAGATAAACCTTCTGAATTCATTATTCTAAAGCTCAAGTACTTATGACCAATCTAACACCACATTCTGTCATGCTTTTTGGTACATTTTGGAAGGCTCAGACTTCATCCAAAAAATCTCATCTTGCTGAGATAGGAAATTCTGCCCTTCACAGTTTATTCCACTGTATTCAACATTTCCCCATCTCTCTGTATTTTAAGCTGTTAATGTATCAGGCAGGGAAACATAGTATCCAGCAGGGAAAAGTTGTAGCAAGCTGAGAACCCATTTTGGCTGAGAGCAAACTGAAACCTCCTTGATCACCCTGGTGGGCCTTCCTCTGCATTGGGGTGAAAAGCCAAGACACCCACTTTGAGGGATATCCCGAGGCTCCATCAGTGAACAAGTCAGGTCCTTGCTCTGGCTAAGGCCTCGGCTCCTAGATCAAAGTCGAAGATAGAGGGCAGTGAGCAAACAGGGCATAATGCAAATGCAGTGCTCTAGGTCAGAAGTGCAGGTAGATTGACTGAATTATGTGTGGGCTCAGGACATGAGAAGCCACGTGTGGGCGGCCTGGCCTCAGGGGTACATAAAGAACTGTGTGGCAAGATCCTTATATGACCCCTGCCCAAAGTTGACTCAATCTGTTCCAACCAAATGTTATTCATCCTTCATTTGTAGGAGTGACATAGTTACTCACAAACTCCCAAAGGCCTGGAGTTAATCAAACTTCAGAAAGAGACCGAAAAAAGAAAGTGTTTAAGTAATACCTGGTGATTGTCAATAAAACTTACAGTGGGGAGCCCTCCAGTGGCAACTGGAAAAATTGAACTCTGATCAGTTTGGGCACCAGTTAGTCTCTTAGAAAAGGTACAACCAACATCACAGAATTACCTATTAATAATACCCAATCATGAGATAGCATCTAAGCTTAAGCTGGAAAGTATCCCGAAAAGTGGGAAAGGGAATCTTTCTATCCTGAGACTTTGAGTCACAACCAAGGATAGAAAGTTGGTGTTGCTGTTGGACTTCTGGGTTGGTTCTGGCTCTGACACTTGCAAGGCAAGGTACGAAACCTTGGACCCTTCCTGCCCACTCTGTCCTCTCAGTTCCCTTCTCTGTTCCTCTGCTGCAGCACTGTCATGAGGATGTAATGAGATATGGGAGCTGGCCAACTCACACACAGAATGTGTCCTAAGAATGCTAGTTCCATCCACCTTTCCTAAGATCATAATTTTTAGTTGTACCATGCTTTGGACCTTACAAAAAACAGAATTGAGTTGTTGTTTACTTTTGTAATTAAATGTTGTATTCCAGTTTGTTCCATGACTGAGTTTTGCACTTCTTTGAATTCACTAACTGATGTCTACTTATTTACATGGTTAACACTGGTAAATATTGATTATATTCAGCTAGTTTTTAAACAAGTATTTCCTTAGGGTCTAATGTTTCTCAGATACTTTGATTGGAATTCACTTGCATCCTGAGCAAAAAGATTAAGAGTTTCTCTCTCTTTCTCTCCCCACTCAACTCCCCATTTAACAAAAATAAATAAATAAACAAAAATAAAAATAAAAATAATAACATTACCTATCTCACCTAGGGAGATCTGGCCTAAGATAATAATTCCACACTCTTTATAAGAACCAGTGGACATTAAAGAACTAAAATTAACCTTCTGCTATGAATGCTGAAATGTTTCTACTCATGAAAACTCCCTTGCTTCATATTTATCACTAGATACTATGAGGAGCTGTTATGAGTTTTTTAAGCTCAAAATTATGTTTCAAATATTTCCATTTCTTAAGTCTTTTCTATTGTTTCCTAGCAGTGGTGAGATAAGATGAGGACACTCTGAGAATACCAATGAGTAGAAATAGGGCACACACAACTATCTTGATAAAAGGTCAACGGAATAGGTAAAAGCAGTGAAAAGATATGAAGAGGAAAGAAAGATATAAAGTAGCAAGATGGAAAACACAAAGCAGTTCTGAAGGTTACTGCCCAATCCCTGCATATTAAGCATTTGATGCTAGAGACCTTGAGTTGAACTCATTGGGTGAGTATCAGGCCTGGCATAGCATGAAACAGATCCAAGTTCAGAGGCTGTAGGATGAAAAAGAAGAAAAGATACAAGCAATTGTGGCTAGAATGCTATGGGGTCCAGAACGTCTTCATATGTATTATTGAAAAGTGGCAGATTGTATTTTCCAACGATGGTCATGGCACTATCACCCATCTCGACTAATCTTCTACAATATGACCTTGTCATCTCCCAATAAGAGGTGGAGTCAAAGCCGGGCTCACGCCTGTAATTCCAGCACTTTGGGAGGCCGAGGTGGGCAGATCACGAGGTCAGGAAATCGAGACCATCTTGGCCAACATGGTGAAACCCCGTCTTTACTAAAATAATACAAAAAGCTAGCTGGGTGTGGTGGCACGTGCCTATAGTCCCAGCTACTCAGGAGGCTGAGGCAGGAGAATCGCTTGAACCCGGGAGGCGGATGTTGCAGTGAGCTGAGATCGCACCACTGCACTCCAGCCTGGTGACAGAGTGAGACTGTCTCAAAAAAAAAAAAAAAAAGAGGTGGAGTCAAAAATTCCCCTCCCATTGAATCTGGATGGGCTTATGACCACTTCTAGTAATACAGTACATTAAAAGTGACATGGTGAACATCCAAGGCCAGGTCATAAAAGGGAATGCAGCTTCCACCTTGTTTGCTAGAACTCTTGCACTGGGAGCCCTTAAACTTCCATGTGGGAAATCTGATCACCCTGACACTGCCATACTGGAGAGGCTGCCTGTCAGTGCTCTGATGAACTGCAGCCATGTGAGTGACCCATTTTGGACAACAAGACAATTGAGCTTTCAGATAATTGCAGCTCCAACCAACATCTGACAACATCCGCATGAGTGACCCTCAGTGAGAACTACCTAGAAAAACCCTGCCTGCTTATGAGTCAGAGCATGTGGTGTTTGGTTTTCTGTTCCTGTGTTAGTTTGCTGAGAATGATGGCTTCCAGCTTTATCCACGTCCCTGCAAAGGACATGATCTTATTCTTTTTTATGGCTGCATAGTATTCCATGATGTATATGTGCCACATTTTCTTTATCCAGTCTATCATTGTTGGGCATTTTGGTTGCTTCCAAGTCTTTTCAGTTGAACAATGAGAACACATAGACAAAGGGAAGGAAACAACACACACCAGGACACAGGGAGGGGAACAACCCAGGAGATGGAGGGCAAGAGGAGGGAGAGCATTAGGACAAATACCTAATGAATATGGGGCTTAAAACTTAGATGACAGGTTGATAGGTGCAGCAAGCCACCATGGCACATGTATATCTATGTAACAAAGCTGCACATGTATCCTGGAATTTAAAATAAAATTAAAAAATTATAAACAACAACAACAACAAAAAGAAAAATCCTGCCTAAATTCCTGGCCCACAAATCAGGAGCAGAATAAAATGGTTGTTTTAAACTGCTAAGTTTTGGGAAACTTGTTATGCTGCAATAGTATTCATTATAATATGTGAAGCTGGTGAGCTATCATTCCCATTTTAAAGATGAGAGTGGGCTTGGATAGTGTTAAGTTCTCGAGATTTATACAAAGGTGCTTTGATATGTAAGTCCTGCTTAAATGACCTCCTGGACTACAAAGATCACTTGTGGGTGAGGACAGTGTGTGAGGAGGATCGTAGTATAGGGGTCAGGAGAAAAAGAGGGCTGTAATTCACATGACTAGAGAAGGCTCCAGATTAGGTGGTGACATTTGAGCTTGACTTTGAACAATAGGATGGATTTTGTTTTGAAGAATAAGTGTCATAAAGAAACACAGATGGAACTAGGAAGTGGTTTTTTTTTGTTTTTTTTTTTGTTTTGTTTTGTTTTGTTTTGTTTGTGACAGTGAAGTCTTTAGGCAACTGATTATCAGCCTCTCTGGTCATTCATTGCTTACTATCATCTAAAGTCAAGCTGACCATCAGCAGACCAGCTGAACAATTCCACAAGGAAGAGCAACAAGTCTTTGAAAATGCCCACAACTACCAAGGGATGCTCCCCTTGCAACATCTCCAAGTCTGAGATTTCTAGGGTTTTAAAAAAAGATCTGCAGTATGAATTCTTTGAAAAGTATTTGCAACTCTCCTTAGAACGCTCAAAAAAAAAGCTAAAAAATTCTCATTTCTATTTTATGTTTGGTATTTTATATGCTAAGTGCTTATTTACAATGTAGCATAAATCAAACTGGAATCAATGGCAAATATTATTTATATCCCAGGACTTGATATCTGAGATGTCCCAATTGTTGTTTTGGTTTTGGTTTTTAAGATAGTGGTTTTAAAATTCAAGGCAATCTCTGTTGCGTATGTGGCATTTTAACTTTGAAAAGTAATTACTTTTCTTTCCTTTTTCCTTCTCTCCCTTGAAAATTCCCACTTTACTAATTATCAGCTTATAGTGGTAACTTGATTCAGCTGATAGCAGCTGATAACTTGATCAGGATAATCAAGGAAGCATTTTATTTTAAAGTATCAAAAGAAACATTACAAAACAGCATTGTAAAATGCATGAAAAATAAGTGAAGATCACTAATGAAAAAAATTGTTTAGATACCATGACTTATAATGCCAGTGTTATAGCTGAAACTGCTCTTTTATATAATGACAGTAACTTGGAAGAAAATACATTTAACTGGGGAGGAAAAAAATCTAAATACAGCTGATATGTCTTGGAAAACACTACCCTAAGAGGCAAAGTTATCTGAAAATTCACCAACTGAAGCTATTCTGTTCAATTTGGTAGCTACTAGCCACATATGGTTATTTAAATTAATTTAAATTAAATAAAATTAAAAATTTAGTTTCTCCATTTCACTAGCCCACTTCAAGTACTGAATAGCCACAGGTAGCTATTGGTTACCATATTAGATAAGGTACGTATCAAATATTTCCATCTCCACAGAAAATTCTATTGGACAGCACTTCTCTAGAAATATAGCTATTTCCCTTGGTCAATCTTGAGGCAGAGTGTGGGAATGGTTTGAAATAGAAAGAATCTAATAATTCCTGAATTACAATGCACTATTTATTTGCTGTGGAGGGTGGGGCATGTAAATGCCACAAGAAAGTCCTTATTTTATATTAACTTTGGCAGAGGGGTTGATAAGTTTGAAGTGTGACTGTAATCTTTTATTTGTTTTGAAAATTTTCATCAATTTTTGGTTTGTGAATGAATATCCAAATAAACTGCTAAGTCAATAGGCCAGTTTTGAATTTGGAGGGCATTTAGAAATTATAATTTTATTTCACATATATGAGATGAGTATTTGTTCATAACTTCCCCTAAATCTGCCCAGAAAACAAGTAAAAAATTGAAAGACAGTAATTGTTTTTTTCTAAAATTAGCACTAATATTCAATATATAGACCCAGTTGTTTGCCTTCTTTTGCAGTTCACCTTTCTTCACCAATAAATTTTATTTATTCATTTATTAGGTTGGTGCTAACAAAACTGCCGTTTTTGCCATTATGGCAAAGATAATGGAGACTGACACAAAGATACTTTCCAAAGTATCTTTGTATCAATCTCCATTATGGCAAAACCCGCAATTAGTTCGCACCAACCTAATACTCACTCAATGAATGTTTGAAGAATTATTTGTAAGACTTTTTAAAACAAAAATTTCTTTTTTCAAATTTTGCCAGTTCAAAAGAGAACAGCCAGGATAAGGAAACCATGGTAAGTGGAAGCAATTGAAAGAAATGGGAATATTTTCTCCTGCAATAAGAGTCCTCAGGGAGCACAGCGCTTTCTCCAAACGTGAGAAGGACTTTCATGTGGAACAGGATGAGACTTGTTTTTGATGGCTCCATTGGAAAAGTGAGATCAATGTATGAAAGATACAGAGAAACGACTTAAGATCAACGTTAGTTCAAACTCGCTAAAGACAGAATAAATTGCTTCAAAAGAAGTGAGGTGCAAGTCACTGAGACATTAAAGCCCAAGTTGAGTTTGTCAGAGATGCAGTGCAAGGAATCCAAAGATCAGATATGTGATTTCACAATACCCTTTGGGGTTCTTTTGATTCTGACCTTCTATGATGCCAAGGCTTTAATCTGCCTCACAGAAGTCTTTTGAGTAATAATAAATTGTTTCATGATGTTCATTAGTGGTGATTTTTTGCCTAGGGCCAATGTATATATAATTGTTAATATTTGCAGATTCAGCTTTTTTCTTGATAAATTCATTTATAATCTAGTCACTCTGATCATATATCAAATTTAACAAAAATGTATTTGAAAGTATAAATGACAAGCTTTGACAAATTATATTGATTACAATTTTAAATAAAAAAATGGAGTGAGCCACAGATTCAACTCAGATTAAATTTGATACCTCCGGGAAGTTTAACACACTTGGTCAGTCTTCTTAAAAAGTTATCAAGGGTCTAGCAAACTGATTGGTGGTATACAGATGAGCTGCATGAGCAAGATGAAAGACCATATTCATTTGGGCAGAAGAAAAATTGCGGTGTTGTTTGAAATACTGCTGATGCCACAAATTATAGACTTGAAATTATTACAGCATCTTTATCTCTGTTTTCTACAAAACTACATAACTTCATAGTAATATCTTATGGTGATGGTTTTCTCCATTCTGTAAATAAAACAGAAACAATTTTTGTTTCACGATTGAATGAGAATTCAGACTTGAGATTATGGGTAAATCTTGGAGTGTTCCAAGTTTTGTCAGAATCTATCAAGTCTGTGAAAAGTTATTTTGAAACAAACATGCTGACAGAGGAGAGGAAAATGTCGAGCAACCGAGTTGAAGCAGAGACCTTTCATTTAATTAATGAGTGTTATCAGAGCCTCTGTCTGAGTTTCTTAATATTCCTGTCTGTGCAATGTATTCACTCACTGACATGAGCCATGAAACAAACTGTGATCTATGTATTTTCATTATTTCATAACTGAATGGGCTCATGTTAATAATTTTTATAGTTGATTGTTGATGAAATCTTTTATCTTAGCTGTCTTTCATCAGAAAGGTTTTAAAGCTTTTTTCTTCTTTTAAGCACTGGTAATAGAGAAGTAGAATTAAATATATAAAAGCCCATCAAAAGAAGAGTGTAATTAAAGGCAGCTATATTGTCCTGGCAGTTTTTTAAATGAAGCTAAAAAAAAATAGCCTTCCATTTTGATTGAGCAACACATGTAATCAAAGTGCCACTAACATTCTTAATTTAAATGAGCAGTTTCATTTAAACTTTCATTTGTTCCTAGGGGTTTCTTTTCATCTACGGCTAAAGAGTATACACTTGGGTAATATTGGCCTTAATTTGAAAAGCTGACAGAATAGTCTTATAAAACTTCTCTTGGACGTTATGAAAACCTAAAATAGTTTCTCATTATTTATATAAAAGCTTCCACAAAGGGATTCTGATTTTTCAGTCCAACTTCCTTTTAAGTTACTTGTCTTTGTTGTTATAATTTGGATATTTGCCCCTCCAAACCTCATATTGAAATTTTATCCTCAATGTTGGAGTGGGGGTGCCTAATGGAAAGTGTTTGGGTCATGGAGGCCGATGCCTCATGAACGGCTTGGTGCCATCCTCGTGGTAGTGAGTGAGTTCTCGCTCTATTATTTCCTGTGAGAGTTCCCCTGAGACTTGATTGTTAAAAAGAACCTGGCTACTTCCTCCCCGTCTTGCTTCCTATCTCACCATGTGATCTACACATGCTGGCTCCCCTTGGCTGCCCCCCTGAGTGGAAGCTTCCTGAGGCCCTTGTCAGAAGTAGGTGTTGGCGCCATGCTTCTTGTACATCCTGCAGAACCACGAGACAAATAAACCTCATTTCTTTATTAATTATCCAGCCTTGGGCATTCCTTTATAGCAACACAAACAGACTAAGATATAGGTGTTTCTTAAATTTTAATACTTTGACAATCTGCACCAGGACTTCAGGAAGTCATGTAAAAATGCCAATACCCAAATTTTGCCAGACAGCCTGATTAAGTAGATCTCTATGAAGTAGAGACCAGGAGTTAAAAGCCCTCCCTCCAAATAATGTTTAATTATCTAAAATTGAAGAATCTTTTCTCTATTAAAAATTAACATGATTTTCATTTTCACAGAGATGTAGAAACTAGGACTATATTTACCCTCCCACCTAAAAAACTGCCTTTTAAAAAAGATAAAATATAATGAACAATAGTTTTCAGACATTAGACATCAAACAGTGCAGTGATCTCCAAGAGAATGGATACAAAATTAGATGATCCCCATGATTACCCCAGCAAAGGTTTCCAGGCCTCTGCACAGGGAAGGAAAATGCAGGAATTGCCCAGTTATCTCCCAAAGTAGAACAGACAAGATTTGTGACTTTGGAAATGTCCAAGAGGCTAGAGTATTCAGGCAAAGAGTCAGAAAGGAGAGGCCTGCACAGACAAGAAGTCCCCCAAAGCAACAGAATCCCACCCTCATTTCTTCAGCTGAGTACTGAGCATGATATGCATGTGAAGAAACTGCCCAAGCTGGGGAAAGAATTACCTAAAAACCAGAGGGAAAATCTTACACAGTTTTATGATTCCAATTACATGACATTCTGGAAAAGGCAAAACAATGGAAGGAGTAAAAAGATCCCTGATTTCCAGGCCTCCAAGGGAGGAGGGAGAGGTAAATATGTAAAGCACAGGACATTTTTAAGCCAATGAAACCATTCTACATGATACTGTAATGGTGGCTGCATGACATTATGCATTTGTCAAACTATACAACACTAAGATGAACAATAATGTAAAGTATGAACTTCAGTGAACAATCATGTATTGATATTGGTTCATCAATTGTAACAAATGTGCCACACTAAAGCAAGAAGTTAGTAATAGAAATAACTGTGCTGAGGGAGAGGGATCATATGGGAGCTCTCCGTATTATCTGGACAAATTTTCCGTAATTTGAAGATGCCCTACAAAATAAATCTGTTTTATAAATAGCAGACATGCAAAGAAGAAAATGCAACCCATAATGAGGACTAAAATCAATCATGCAGAGTCTCAGAAATCAGACAGATGATAAAATAGTGGACAAGGATAACAAGGATACTTATAACTCTACTCCAAAAGTTCAAGCAGGTAGAGGAAGTACTAAGCTTGTTAACTAGAGACCTGGAGAATATAATACCAAAAATCTATCTCTAATGATGAAAAATACAGCGTCTGAAATGAAAATGGGTAACAAACCCATAGACACAGGATCCTATCTCAAAAATGAACCCCAAGTTTTAATTCAATAATTTCACCTCTACCTTAAGAAACTTTGGGAAAAAAAATTAAACATGAAATAATTAAAAGAAAAAATAACAGTAAAAGCAGACAGAGGTAAGTGGGATAGAAAACAGAAAAACAATAGAAAAATGTAATGAAAACAAAATCTGTTTGGGGATCAATTAAATTGATAAATGTTGTAATAATTAATTTTATGCATCAAACTGACTGGGCCATGGGGTGCCCAGATAAAACATTATTCTGGGTATGTCTGTAAGAATGTTTCAGGATGAGATTTGCATTTAAATCAGTGGACTCAGTAAAGTAGATTGTCCTCCCCAATGTGAGGGAGCATCATCCAATCTGTTAAAGGTCTGTATATAACAAAAAGTGGAAGAAGAAGGAACTGACTTATTTTTTCCTGCCTCACTGCTTGAGCTGGGACATCTCATCTCATCTTCTGTGCTTAGGCTGGGATTTTATACCAGTGGCTTCCCTGGTTCTCAGGTCTTCAAACTTGGACTGAATTACACCACTGGCTTTACTGGGTCTCTAGCTTGCTGATGGCAGATTGTGTGACTTCTTGGCCCTATCTCTGAATACGGTTACATTGGGAGTTAGGGCTTCAACATACAAATTGGGGGTGAGGAGGTACAATTTTGGCCATAACAAGAGAAAAAAACATATTACTGTATTTGTAATAAGAGAGTTGACAACACTACAGATTATTTAGGCAATAAAACTATATTAAGGAAACATATGATTAACTTTGTGATTTACCCATATGTGTATATCCTTTAGGTTCTCTTTTTCTGAAAAACTGTCAAATATAAGCCTCTAGCTAGTATGATCAAGAAACAAACAAAAAAGGATATATTGTTGTGCTTGGGCTTTCATAACAGAATATTATAGATTGGATGTCTTAAACAACAGAAATTTATCACCTTAACTCCGGAAACTAAGATCAAAGTGATCAAGATCAAAGTGCCAGCAATATTATTTTCTGTTAAGTCCTCTCCCTTTGGTTTTCAGATGGCCACCCTCTCACTGTATCCTCATATGGCCATTTATCTACTTAAATACATACAGAGACACAGAGAGAGACAGAGAGAGAGAGAGAGATTTGGAGTCTCTTCCTTTTCTTACAAGGACACCAGTTTTATCAGATTAGAGTTCCACTCTTACATCTTCATTTAATTTTAATTACCTCCTTAAAGGCTTTATCTTCAATTACATTCACATTGGGCGTTGGGGCTTCAACATGTAATGGGGAGGAGGGACACAATTTAATCTACAACATTCCACCCTCTGTCCCCACCCCAAATTCAAGTCCTTCTGACATCCAAAATATGTTTACCCCATTCCAAGAGCCCTGAATCTTAACTCATTCCAGTATCCATTCTAAGTCCAAAGTCTCATCTAAATATCATCTAAATCAGGTATGGGTGAGACTCAAGGTATGATTCATCCTGAGTCAAAATTCCTCTCTAGCTCTGAACCTGTGATTCCTATTTTTGCAATGGTGGGGCAGGCATAGGATAGGCATTACTATTCCAAAAGGCAGAAATGAGAAAGAAGAAAGGGTGATGAGTCTTGAGTGAGTCCAAAACCTAACAAGGCAAATTTCATGGGCTCTAAGGCCTGAGAATAATCTTCTTCAGCTGGATGTTCTGCCCTATGGGACCACCGGGGTGACAGCCTCATTTTCTGGGCCCACGGGGGCAGTGGCCTCACTTTCTTGGACATGAGTGGTGATCTTGCCTCTGAAGCCTCACATAGGAGCAACCTGACCCACTGAAACCAAGGAAGAGGCCATACCCTCTGAAACCAACAAGGAGTGTGTGCTCCGGGCCTGTGGTAACAGTGGCAGTGCTGCCAATCTCTGAATTGCCTTTGAGGTCATTCTTCCCTTTTCTGGAAGGGTAAGGCATGTTCACAGCCAGATAGCTCTGTTGTTCCACTCTGGCTTCTGCTGAGATGGCTGATTAAATCCATGGGTCATCTCTTTATACAGTGATTGTACAATTATACCCTTGGTGTTCTCCTCAGAACATACTTTCTCATTTTTTTGCAGCAGAGAGTAAGAATTTTTAAATATTTAGGATCCGATTTACTTTTGCTTAACAATTTCTTCTTCAATTCTCGCTCTTCTCTGACATTTTACTGTAAGCAGTAAAAAGAAGTCAGACTGCTTCTTCAACACTTTGCTGAAAAATCTCCTTAACTAAATATCCAAGTTCGTCAAATTCCATTTTCCCAAACACACTAATTCATAATTTCAAGTTATTTGCTACTTTGTAACAAAGACTGCCTTTTCCTCCAATTCTCATCTCCTAATTCCTGTCTGAATCCTTACCAGAAAGACCTTTAATGTTCATATTCCTACCAGTGCTTTGTTCATGATGATATGTGTATTCTCTAAGATGATAGAAGCTTTCTCCAGAGCCTTCTTGTTTGCACTCTGAGCCCTCACCACAATCATCTTTAACGTCTGCATTTCTAGTAACAGTCCCTTCAAGGTGACTTGGGATTTTTCTAGCATGCATCTTAAGACTCTTCTAGCTTTTACCCAATGCTCAGTTCCAAAGCCACTTTCACAGCAACACTCCACACCAGGTGCCAAATCTCTATTAATCTGCGCAGGCTGCCATCCAGAATTCCATAGACTGGGTGGCTTAAACAAACAACAGAAATTAATTTTCTCACAGTTGTGGAGGCTAGAAGTCAAAGATCAAGGTGGCAGCAAGGTTGGTTTCTGGTGATGTCTCTCTCCTTGGTTTTCAGATGGCTGTCTTTTCTCTATGTCCTCACATATCCTTTTATTTGTGAAGAGAGAGAGAGAGAGAGAGATTTGGTATCTCTTTCTCTTCTTAAAAGGTCCATTGCAGGCCGGGCACGATGGCTCACTCCTGTAATCCCAGCATTTTGGAAGGCCGAGGCAGGCAGATCACCTGAGGCCAGAAGTTTGAGACCAGCCTGGCCAACATAGCAAAACCCTAATCTCTAATAAAAATATAAAAATTACCCAGGCATGGTGGTGCATGCCTGTAGTCTCAGCTACTTGGGAGGCTGAGGGATGAGAATAGCTTGAACCCAGGAGGCAGAAATTGAGCTGAGATCATGCCACTGCACTCCAGCCTGGGCAACAGAGCAAGACTCTGTCTCAAAAAAAAAAAAAGGTCTTATTTCATTAGAGTCTCACCCTTATGTCCTCATTTAAGTATCTCCTTAAAGCCCCTATCTCTGAATATAGTCACATTGGGGGTTAAGGCATCAAAATATGAATTCAGGGGGTACAATTTAGTTCATAACAAGAGAAGACACATATTACTAACATGTGGAATGAGACAGTTGACAATGCTACAGATTCTTCAGATATTAAAAGGATATTAAGGAAATATGATTAATTTATGCCAATAAATTTGATAAATTTTAGGAAATGGACAATTTTCTTAAAAATCTGTTTCTTATGAAGGATTATTAAAGTAGAACATTCTACAAAATCAACAAAAATATTTCTAAATCTAATGATTGAGTTTAGCAAGGTTGCAAGATACAGAATCAATATTTTAAAATTACTATACTACATAGCTGCAAAAAAAATTGGAAATTTATTTTTTAAGAAACATATCATTTAGAATGGCATCAAAACATAACATATTGTGGAATAGATTTGACATAAGTTGTGTAAGACTTCTACATTGAAAACTGTAATATATTTGTACGAAAAAATTTAAAAGACCTAAGTAAATGGATAAATGTATTCTGTTCATGAAATCCAAGCAGACATTTTTTGTAGAAATTTAAAAGTTGATTCTTAAATTTATATGGGAATGCAAAAGAGGTAGACTTTCCTAAATAACTTTAAAAAGAAAAACAGTTTTGGAAGACTTACACCTCTTGATTCCAAGACTTATTTCAAAGCTATAGCCATCAAGATAATGTGGCATTGGTATAAAAACAGACAAATAGATCCATAGAATGAAAAATCATTCAGAAAGGGACTCATACATATATGGTCAATTGATTTAGGACAAAAGATACTAGGCAATTCAATGGGCCCAGGGCAATCTTTCAGCAAACTGTGCTGTAACAATGAGCTAACCGCATGCAAACAATCAGCCTACATTCTTACCTTCATCAATGTACAAAAATTAACTCGAAATGGATACACCTGTTAAAGCAAAATAAAATAGAAACTGAGCCTAAAAAAATCCTGAGCAAATAATACTATGTTTTAAAGATCTTAACTTTGCTTTTATCAAAGCCTTAACTGATTAAATTCTAAGTATAAACAAAAGTTAACTTGAGTCATTTCTGATAAAAGTTTGTGTTAGACAGAACTAAAACTTAACCCCAGTCAATCATAAACAACCAACTAATATATGATTATGTGATAAGGAACTTTCCAATAAAGTATCTTTAAAATAAGGAACTTCCCAATAAGGTACCTTTAAAAGGCAGTTTTGTAAAATAATTTCTTTATTTTGCTTTAGCGTTTTCCCAATAAATACTTGCCTCTGATATTTTGTCATTGGAACGCTGAACATTTTGTGGTCTGATGTTCCACATTTCATGAGTTGCTTCTTACTCAAATAAACTCTTTAAAATTTATTGTGTCTCAGATTTTTCTTTAACAAAACTAAATATATAAGCTAAAACTATAAACCCTCTAGAAGCAAACATAGGAGAAAATTCTAGTGACCTAGGGTTTGGCAAATATTTCTTTAATATGATAGAAAGCACAGACTTTAAAATAGCAAATCAATAAATTCGAAGCTTTTGCTTTTCAAAAGAAACTTTTAAGAAAATGAAAAAGAGCCAGGCATGGTGGCTTGTGCCTGTAGTCCCAATTACTCGGGAGGCTGAGGTGGAAGGATCAATTGAGCCCAGGAGTTCAGGGCAGCAGTTACTCTCCAGCCAGGATGACAGAGCAAGACCCCATCTCAAAAAACAAAACATCAAAAAAAATGAAAAAGAAAGCCAGAGAAAAATATTTTCAAAACATATATTAAACAAAGAATTTGTACTTAGAACATATAAAGATTTCTTACAACTTAATGAGAAGACAACCTAATTTTTCAAAAAGGAAAAAAGATTTGAGCAAATATTTCACCAAATAAGATTTATGGATGACAAATAAGTACATGAAGGAATGCTCAATATCCCTACTCATTAAGGAAAAGCAAATTATGAGCACAATAAGATACTACTACACATCTCCTAAAAATGTTAAAATAATAGACTTACCTTACCAAATATGAACGAGGATGTGGAACGTTTAGTTCTTTAGTTCACTGCTGGTGTGAATGTAAAATAGTACAACTTTGAAACCCCATTTGACAGTTTCTTTTTTGCTTGTTTTGTTTCGTTTTGAGACAGGGTCTCTGTTGCCTAGACTGTAGAGGCTGGAGTGGAGTGGTGCAATCACAGCTCACTGCAGCCTTGGCCTCCCAGGCTCAAGCAATCCTCCCACTTCAACCTCCAAAGTAGCTACACACACACGCCAGCTCATCTGGCTAATTTTTGTATTTTTTTGTAGAGATGGGGTCTCTGTATGTTGTCCAGGTTGCTCTTGAACTCCTGGGCTCAAAAGATTCGCCTCCCAAAGTGATAGGATTACAGGTGTGAGCCACTGGCCCCCAGCATGGTAGCTTCTTTAAAAAAAAAAAAAACATAAAATCCAGCTATTCCACTTTGTGATATTTACCTAAGATAAATGAAAATATATTTTTCTACAAAGATTTGCACATGAATGCTTATAACAAATCTATTTGTATTACCCCAAAACTAGAAATAACCCAAAGGTTCATCAACAGGTGAATGGATAAACAAATTGTGGTATATCCAAACATTACAATTGTAGCTGGCAATAAAAATAATAACCAATTGATACTTGCAGCAACACATATGCATCTCTAACAGTTATACTTAGAGAAGCAACCAAGATGAAGAGAGAGTGAAAGTGAGGCGTTGCTATGGGATGTGAGAAAACTTTTGATGGTGATAAATATTATCTTGATTGTGGTAGTGGTTTCACAGAAATACACATATTTATATATTAAATTGTATTACTTTAAATATGTAAAATGTATTTTATATCAATTATACTGTAGCAAAACTGGAAATAAATGCACAAATACTGCCCCCCTCAACACAGCTAAGTTGATTTAATTACTTTCTCTAAAATTTATCAAAGCTTTTATGCACCATTCTCCCACCTGGACTATCCTTCTTCTTTTGCTTTTCTGGATTTAATTCTTCTTCCAAGATCGAGCCTAAATTCCATTTTCTCCATAAATTTGGCCCACAGCAGCTACATTGATTTATTCCTTTTGTGAACTCTTTTTTTTTTTTTTTTTTTTTTTTTTGAGACGGAGTCTCACTCTGTCTCCCAGGCTGGATGGAGTGCAGTGGCGCGATTTCTGCTCACTGCAACCTCCTCCTCCCGGGTTCAAGGGATTCCCCTGCCTCAGCCTCGTGAGTAGCTGGGATTACAGGTGCCTGCCACCACTCACGGTTAATTTTTTTGTATTTTTAGTAGAGACAGGTTTCACCATGTTGGCCAGGCTGACTTCAAGTGATCCACCCTCCTCGGCCTCCCAAAGTGCTAGGATTACAGGCGTGAGCCGCCGCGCCCGGCCTGAAATCTAGTAACGATGATGAACTGTACAGTATGTGAATGAATCACATTTTACCTGTGACATTCTTCTATTGATCCTTTGAATTATTAAATGTCGGGTGTTTTTCTTGCCTATGGATTGTCTCCCCAGTTAGATTATAAATTTCTGGAGAGTTAAGGTCGCATTTTTTATCCCGCATTTCTTATGTGAAATTGTTTGAGTGTGTGTGAGTTAAATGCATTTTTTCTTTGTTACAGCTTGTTTGTATAATTATCCAAGTAAGTTATGTAATGTAGTTATTTATATATTAAACCTAGAAAAATGCTTTGCATAAGGAGGAGCTCCATATCATTAAATTTTACATCTCTTGCAAGGACCAAGTTTTATAAGTTATTGCATATGTGTTGAGTGATTTTTTAAATGCTAAATACATCATTTCTCTAATGGGTAACACCTTATGTTCATACAGATTTTCAAAATATATTGCTTTAAATGAACTGCTGTTACATGCCAATAATACAACTGAACGTCACAGACATACTGTTAAGCAAAAAGAAACCATACACATATATCATTTCGTCCATAAAATGGTCAAGAAGAGGCAAAGCACTATGGTGATAGAGGTTAGAATAGTGGTTATATTGTGGGGCCGTTGACTGGGGAAGTTAATATTCTATGCCTAGGTTGCTGAAATTGTGTGTGTGTGTATGTGTGTGTTGTAAATACATTTTTTCTTTGTCACAGCTTGTTTATATAACTATCCAAATTAGAATTATGTAATATAATTAGTTATTTATGTCTTAAATCTATTTTAATCTGCAGGTTCCCACTCCATAACTGACCTTAAAATGCATATTGCAGAAACTAGATTGTTTGTCCTGTGAGTTTCCCAAGGTCTAGATTTTGTTAATTGCCTCTCCATGATGTCAATTAGTGGGTTCCTCTCTTCTCTGCATTCCCTGTAAATTAATTATTAGTTCTAGATACCTGATAAGATACAGGTTTAATTTTTTTGGCAAGGTAGCAGGTGATGTGTTTTTCCTTCAGGAGTTACATAACTTCTGTTTACCTTTCTTTTTGTGATGTTAGCAGCTGTTGATGATCAATGAGTAGTTTCCATTAATTATCGGAGCTGCAAAATGGTAACATTTGAATTCAATTATCCTTTATTTGTTGAGAAAATTACTGAATTTCAAGGAGAAAAAAAATCACCTTTCTTTTTTCATGTACTCAGTGGTGAATATTCTTGTGTATTTTCTACCCCTATTGCAATCATCTAGGGATAGTTTGGACCAGAGTGGAAGGGTAGAGATACATAGTCAGATTCTGGATAATTCCCAAATAGCTAACATTTATTGAGCACTTGCTATTGCATTTGCTTAGTTAAAAATAAATAAATAAATATAGCGTTAACTTTGTGCTAGGCACTATTATAATTGCTGTGTTAATTTTAATTTATTTTATTTTATTCTCATAGTGACCTTATGGAGAAGGTATTTTTGCCAGATACAGAGCTCAGTATAAGGAATCTGATTCCTGGCCAAACTCCTATGTAAATGATTTATCAAGCCAAATCCTAGGCAATTACAAAGGCCTTACCTGGGAGACCTCCTGGGGAAAAGCTGCCTTCTCCATTAAATTTGGCCACAGCCAGTGAATTGCAGTCTTTCAAGGGAGTTGCAGTCAAGGACTCAGGTCCTTCTGCTCTCACTCGTATTTGTATTTCTAAGCCAAGCACCTCTCTTCATCCATTTTGTGTTGCTATAACAAAATGCCAAACACTGGGTAATTTATAAGGAAAATAAACTTGTTTCTCACAGTTCTAGAGGCTGGGGAGTCTAATATCAAGAAGCTGGCATTTGGCAAGGGCCTTCTTGCTGCGTCATCCCATGGCAGAAGAGAGAAAGGCAAGAGAGCCAGAGAGTAAGAAGGGGCCGAACTTGCTTTTATAACAAGCCTACTCTTGAGATATCTAACCCACTCCTACAATAGTGACATTAAGTCATTGATTAGGGCAGAGCCCTCATGACCTTATCGCCCCTTAATAGGCCTCATTTTCCAATACTGTTGCACTGGGGATTAAGTTTCCAACACATTAACAGTGGGGGACACATTCAAACCATTCATTTGGAGTCCTCTTTATTTGGGGCCTTCAGCCTAGGCCTTCTTCAGGCATCTCGGCTGGAGTTTTTTTATCAAGGGAAGGGAGGGACAACCTTGAAGACACTTTTCACTACTTCAGATCAGTACAGAATACTTTTATATGTCCAGACCTTTCCCTTTCCCTCCCCACAACACCTGAGTCCATATAACTGCAGAAGCTTTTTGTTCAGGGGTCCTTCAGCAGTGAGATGGCCTTGCCCTCAACAAGCACATCATTTCATGGTGAAAAAGGAATGCTGAGAGCTAGTGCTTTCTCCAATTTTAGACATTGGTTGTACCATCTCAGTGAGTGGTTAAAGGCTTGACCATTACTTTCATGTTGGTTTACTGTTTTTAATCAGTTTCTCTGACACCTGGCAGAGCCTCTGATCAGCTTTGGTCTTGCCTCACCAGGCCTGGCCCAGAGGGCTTTCCATGTAGGGGAAAGGGGATGCAGGCACCTGCAGATCACAGATCTAAAGAGATAGCCATGAAGACCCTGGACAGATAGAAACAAGGAGACAGAGAGAAAGAGGGAAAGAGAGAGAATGTGCCTTCCTGTCCTCATATAATTCTTATTCTTTAAACATTCAAAACTGCTGTATATGGCTGGTCCCTAAAGAACAGGTCCCACAATTTATCAGTCAGTTACTGTTCCTGCCGTTCCTGTGGCTATTCTTCAAGTTCCAATGCCCACTCCTTTATTGACCATCCTGAGACCCAGGATAGGCAATATTAATTTTCTATGAAACGACTTTTTTTTTTAATTATACTTTAAGTTTTAGGGTACATGTGCACATTGTGCAGGTTAGTTACATATGTATACATGTGCCATGCTGGTGCGCTGCACCCACTAACTCGTCATCTAGCATTAGGTATATCTCCCAATGCTATCCCTCCCCCCTCCCCCCACCCCACCACAGTCCCCAGAGTGTGATATTCCCCTTCCTGTGTCCATGTGATCTCATTGTTCAACTCCCACCTATGAGTGAGAATATGTGGTGTTTGGTTTTTTGTTCTTGTGATAGTTTACTGAGAATGATGCTTTCCAATTTCATTCATGTCCCTACAAAGGACATGGACTCATCATTTTTTATGGCTGCATAGTATTCCATGGTGTATATGTGCCACATTTTCTTAATCCAGTCTATCATTGTTGGACATTTGGGTTGGTTCCAAGTCTTTGCTATTGTGAATAGTGCCGCAATAAACATACGTGTGCATGTGTCTTTATAGCAGCATGATTTATACTCCTTTGGGTATATACCCAGTAATGGGATGGCTGGGTCAAATGGTATTTCTAGTTCTAGATCCCTGAGGAATCGCCACACTGACTTCCACAATGGTTGAACTAGTTTACAGTCCCACCAACAGTGTAAAAGTGTTCCTGTTTCTCCACATCCTCTCCAGCACCTGTTGTTTCCTGACTTATAATGATTGCCATTCTAACTGGTGTGAGATGGAATCTCATTGTGGTTTTGTTGCTGGGGAAACTGGCTAGCCATATGTAGAAAGCTGAAACTGGATCCCTTCCTTACACCTCATACAAAAATCAATTCAAGATGGATTAAAGACTTAAAACGGTAGACCTAAAACCATAAAAATCCTAGAAGAAAACCTAGGCAATACCATTCAGGACATAGGCATGGGCAAGGACTTCATGTCTAAAACACCAAAAGCAATGGCAACAAAAGACAAAATTGACAAAATGGGATCTAATTAAACTAAAGAGCTTCTGTACAGCAAAAGAAACTACCATCAGAGTGAACAGGCAACCTACAAAATGGGAGAAAATTTTTGCAACCTACTCATCTGACAAAGGGCTAATATCCAGAATCTACAATGAACTCAAACAAATTTACAAGAAAAAAACAAGCAACCCCATCAAAAAGTGGGCAAAGGACATGAACAGACACTTCTCAAAAGAAGACATTTATGCAGCCAAAAAACACATGAAAAAATGTTCATCATCACTGGCCATCAGAGAAATGCAAATCAAAACCACAATGAAATGACTTTTAAAAATGCACATATCGAGGTACCCACAAAGCCACTCGGCATGAGAGGCCAAATATTCTCTCAGATATCTCCATCGCAAATTCTGTCCAGGCACATTCTCCATTATTATAGCTCAGTAGAAATCATGTAATGAACTCAAATGACTGCCTAAATTACTCCATAATAACATAGTGCCAGCAATATTAAAATGCCTCCAAATTTGAATATGAACATCCTACCAGGAATAAATTTCTCAAGAGAAATAAAAGCCAAATATTAAATCTCCTTCCTCTTCATATATATTAAAGCACAAAAACTTAAAAAAAAAATTCCTTTCTCCATTACCTCTGCTCAAGCTCAGCCAGAGCAATTTCCTCTAAATATCTGGGTAGAATTGGGTTTCTTTCCATAGCTACAGCCTAAGGTATTTCACCAAAGCAGGTAATTATCTTGGTATCTCTAAAGGGAAATTGATCAAGCCCTTCAACCCTTTCTAAGCTAAAGATTAAATCAGATATATAAGATTATTTAAGCTACACCAAAAGAATCTAAAAAGTATAACAAGTACTCATTCTAGCAAAACGTTCCCCAAACCACATATAGCGCAATCTTTAGCCACATGAGAGATGCCAAACATTGCACATAGCACAGACTTGTTAAATTCTAAAGGAGACAGGTGTGGTCAAGCAGTTTCCACTCATCAATCTGCAGAACAAAATGAATTTGCATATTTGCAGTGATCACCACCATCTTTGATTTGTGGAGATCTGACCCTAACAGGTAATAAGGCAGCTTAGGCTTTTCAACTAGCTGTTTCTTATGCTTAACATCAGTCCAATATGATAACTTTTTAAAAAGTTATCTCAGTCTCATTTTGGTTCAAAATCCCCTTACTCTATCCCATCCCTATAGACTCTTTCTTCCTCCTCCATTCCAGGCTATATTGAGCCACAGAACTTTTGTTTTGGATTATAACTTTCTCTCTCATCTTCTTTGCCTCTCTTTTGCTTCTTCTGTGGACTTACTCTTGGGAGGGGTGGGCCATCTTAAGGGAAGCCATTTTTTTTATAATTCCCTGTTGAAGTAAGTTTGCTGTCCTGTGTTATTTTAAAATACATTTCGTCTCATTTTGTGTATCTATTTTTTCATTTATTACCTGTCTTTCTTGATGAATGAAAAGCAGAACCTGTGTCTAGTTTCCTGTTCTATCCCTTTGCCAATAACAGTTCTTGTCAAATACTAGATACTCAGTAAATATTTTCTTGAGAGAATGAATCACTGCTCATCTGGCTCATTCTGTGAATTCTATTCATATAGGTTAGGGAGCGGGGTTTAATCTGTCTGGCTGGTTGAGGGACCCAGTTTCTCAAAGGTTTCTTGTTATGGGTGATCCTCCTGAAAGATTTGGTTAGAGGTTCTACGTTGTCACCAGACGGAGGCATTAACTATATTCCCTTGTTTTATATGCTTATTCCCCCATGCTCTGGCAATTTCTGGCAAGCCTGAAGAGTGCTAATTTCACCTGTCAGCTGTATTCCTAAATCAGGACCTGTGGACACAGGGTGGAACATCATCCTTTGGAGACTTGGGCAGGATAAGGGTGGCCATTCCATTCTCTCTCTTCAAGGGTCTTCCCCTTTGCTGTGACGCTTACATGGGTATCCATGTCCTTTTGCTCAGCACGAGCCAGATTCTTGGGTCTCCCCTGGCACTCTTCCGCATAAGACAGTACTTCACAAACTCTGCTCTTCAGAAGGTAATATCACCTTCACATATGTGTATGTTAGAAGTAACAGGGCTTGCTATGCTGACTCCTCTAGAATTCCTTTTTGGACCATTTTTGCTGTCAAATAGTCACCTTTGATACCTCTAGGAGAGCAGAAAAGGGTCATAATAAGTAATTCATAGCTTTATAATCCGTTGGAATAGTAAGATAGATAATAATTTGATAGCAAAGGTATGTCGTTTGTGTGCAGTCTTGCTAACCAGGCTGCACCAGTTTTGTAGAACTCGTGTCTACTCATCCTATTGCTGTTCCTGGAGTTTCCCTTAAAATTCCATGAGAATTAGAGGCCTAGGACCCATAACTTTCCTCAAACCTCGTTTTTTCAGCTTTTAATCTCCAGCTGTTGAATAACTTCCCAGTGGCAGTCTGAAACTCCCTTTCTACCACCTATTGCCCCTTGCAACAGAACCAGAATTTCTTAAAGGCTTGCATCTTAGCACAAGTTGAGAAACAAGATACATAGGGTAGGGAGATTAAAAGCAAAAAATCAATTGCAATCTCATGTCTTCATGTCAACACTCCAAAGATAATGAATGGTAGCAATCAGAGCGTGCCCCCCATAGCTCAGTGCCCTCTCCTGGCAGAGGTGCTTTAAAAAGACACTGCATCTTTTGAGATAAGAGTGTCCTAGATCTGTAAGGGCATTTATCCTGGACAGACTTTGAAACTGTCAGAAGATAAGCCTGGTTTTCTAGAGCCACGAGAGTCTTTTTACTGATGGGAAGGAATCTCACTCTCCCTGAATCCAGAATATGCTTGCTTAAGTGAAGGCCCTAATTATCTTAATCCTTAAACTCAATTCCTTTATTTACTAAACACAAATACAATTCCACACTTGAAGACACTAGACAAAAAATTGGGTTAACCTCCAAATCTGGCCATGTTTTTTAAACCTAATGAAACCCCTGCAGACGCCAGTCACAATAAAAACTGCGGCAGCCCACAAATTGAAATACTGGCTAGACCTTTTTTTCTTTTAAACCTGTTCACTGCCAGTTGTGGTGTCCCAGGTCTGTAAATCCAGCTACCTGAGAGTCTGAGGCTGGAGGATCACTTGAGCCCAGGAATTTGAGGCTGCAGTAAGCTATGATCGCACCATTGCACTCCAGGCTGGGAACAAGATCCTGTTTCTAAAAAATAATAATAATAAAACTGTTTACCCGAGCTACTCCAAGACACCTTTTCTTGCCTTTCTACCCTGCATATGGATTTCTTGAAGTTACCAGGCTTAAGCATCAGGCGTTGGGTTTGAGGGTGAGAAACGACATCCTTGTCCTTTCAGATTAGAATCCAGTCAAAGCAAAAGACACAAAACATTTAGCCATCAATATAACAATAATTGGTTTATTCAAGAATCATCAGAGGAAGCTACAACCAATGTGTCAGAGTTTGTTGTTAAACAGGTTAAAGCTATCTACGTACAGATTATGTATTAATTACAAAGGAAAAATTGTTGTTTTACTATAGAGAAATCACATTAACCAAGTGAAGTTAACATTATCTGTAATGGGACAAACTAACATCATGCACTTCCTGATGTGATTAACTGAGAGAAGTACCCATAATCTGTGCAGTATTTCTGACCAAGACACAAAACCTAAATCCAATAATGAGAAGACAATCAGATGACTCACACGAAGAGGGCATTCACAGAACAACTGAATGGTGGTCTTCAGAAATGTTCATGTCATGAAAGCCAAAGAAAGACTGAGGAGTTGTTCAGTTGTTCCAGATTAAAGAAGACTAAAGAGATGTCACAATCCAATGCAAGCTATAATCCTGGATTGGACCCTGGATCAGGAAAAACAATGGTTATAAATAGCATTTCTGCAACAATTGGCAAAGTTAGAATATGGACTGTATATTAGGTAATAGTATTGTGTCAGTACTAAATTTCTTGAAGTTGATAGCAATACTGTGATTATGTAAGAGAAGGTCTTTGTTGTTAGTATACATATACAGAAGAATTTAGGAGCAAAGATTCATGATATCTTCAACGTACTCTCAAAAGATTCTGAGAATATGCAAATATTTATAAAGAGAAATAGAGTGTATGTGAAAAATACTAACAATTGGTGATTCTAGATAAAGAGTATATGGGTACTCATTGCCTTATTCTTGCAATTGTATGTAGTTTAAAATTTTTCAAAATAAAACATGGAAAAATAAGTTGAAAGAATAACAGAACTAAAAAGTAAACCTAAAAAATATATACAAGACTCAGATTAAATATATCAGCATTATTACTGGTAAAACTGGATTGGAAACCATGAAGGTTAAAAGATAGATAAATAGATAGATAGATAGATAGATAGATAGATAGATAGATAGATAGATAGTTAGATAGATAGATATGCATTTTGCTTCCTACTTCATCTGGAGGTGATTTACTAAAGACAGAGTCACAGGCAATCCGAAGCTTTCCCCAACCTGCTCACCACCTTCTCTCCACGAGAAGAGTATATTTCTCTAATGGGCTTAACCACATGGAGTGTATTCTGTTGTTCTTTCTGTAACTTATTATAATTTCACCTGAAACATATCCACAATAGCTTTTAGAGTTTCTATCTGTTTTTGAAAAGTCTCTGTGGCATTTAAAATAGTCAACCTTATAGAATCAGAGAGTAGAATGGTGGTTTCCAGGGGTTGGAGGAAGGGGAAAATGGGGAGATATTGGTCAAAGACTATAGAATTTCAGTTATGCAAGATGGATAAGTTCTGGAAATCTAATGTACAGCAATGTGCTATAGTTAACAATATTGTATTGTATACTTGAAAACTGCTAAGAGAGTAGAGCTTTAGGGTTGGGCGCGGTGGCTCACACCTGTAATCCCAGCACTTTGGAAGGCCAAGGTGGGCAAATCATGAGGTCAGGAGCTCGAGACCAGCCTGGCCAACATGGTGAAATCCCGTTTCTGCTGAAAATCCAAAAAATTAGCTGGGCATAGTGGTGGGTACCTGTAATCCCAGCTACTCGAGAGGCTGAGGCAGGAGAATCGCTTGAACCCAGGAGGCGGAGGTTGCAGTGAACCGAGATTGCGCCACTGCACTCCAGCCCAGGTGACAGAGTGAGACTCTGCCTTTAAAAAAAATAAAAAATAAAAAAGAGTAGATCTTTAGTATTCTCACCACAATAAAATAAGAAAGAAAATGGTAACTACAAGAAGCGATGGCTATGTTAACTAGCTTAATTCTGGTGGTTATTTCACAATGTGTGTGTGTGTGTGTGTGTGTGTGTGTATGTCTCTCTCTCTTTCTCTCTCTCTATATATACACACATAAAGTTAAATATACACAGTATTTGTTAACTATATCTCAATAAAGCTGGAAAAAATAAAATTAAAAAGTGTTTATGCTTGATATTTTTGGTATATTCACCATTTGTAATTGCATACTTTATTTTTAAAAGTATTTTTATACATAGTCTTATATCTGCCAAATTTTATATTGTCAGTCTTTTGGTGTTTAAATGTTTTATATATTGTTTCTTTTGACAATCATGCACTACAATTGCTTGACTTCTCACTTTTTGGCCATCTGGTTTCTGAAGTCATGCTTATTTTCGGCTTTCGGAGTCAATTCTGAGCAACTCTCCACATGCTGTCAGCCATGTGTTCCCCTCTCCAGGCACAATCTCAGATGCTTCACTTATTTTGGCTTAGAGCAGGTGTCTCAGACTCAGCTTCCCTTCTCTTTGCCATTTTGAAAATCAATATCCCCTCAACCTTAATGTTATAGGAACCTGGCTGGCTTTAGGGAAATTCCCACAGCCTGTTGGCCTCAACAGAGTTCCTGCCACTCTGGTTTAGCAATCCTCACTCTTAGCTGCTCCAGCCATTGTTCCAAGCCTCTGGGGCTTTGACTTCATTCCACACTGGCACTGCTTCCAAATATTCCCACCTCAGCTCCTGACCATAAGAAGCCAGGCCCTGTCCCCTAGAAAATCCAGGTTGTTTTTGTAACTGTCATTTTTAAGTAGTAGCTGACTTTAATGATGTTTCCTCTGTGGTTTATTTCCTTGTGGGTTATTTAAATTTGAATTGTCAATTTATCTTCAATGTTTCTTCTCCTCTTATGAAAGTTTTATGTGCCTGAGGCTATGAAAGTGTCCCCTTCTGAATGATTAGATCTCCAAGGGTTTAACTTCTTCTGACCAGTTTTAATGACAATTTGTCAGCCTGGATTGTTGAAGACTGGGGTGACCTTTCTCCTATGCACATTCCCAGGTGAATGACAAGCATTTTTATTGTTGTTTTCTATTGTCTGGCCTGTAGGTGGAGTTTTTCTAGACCTTTTTTCATAATTAAATCCAGATTTATACAGGAGCTTAATTTCAGCATTCCTTCTTTCACGGAGTAAAGACTGTATCTTCTGCCCTATATTTTGTGTTTGGGACTTGTTCTCTTTTACACTGCTGTGCTCTCAGCTTCTGATTATTCCTGTGCCTTGAGCTTCTCCTAAGTTCTGACACCCTGGGATGTCACATTTTTTTCTTAGAGTTGTGTTAATACTTGTCCAGATATTTAGTGTGTTTGTAGCATGGGGCAGAAAGAAGAGATTATAGATTTCATTGTCTATTTTATTCCAATCCCCCCATTTTTCTGGCTGTTCTCATGACACTTCCTTTGTAACATTTCTTAGCCTCCCTGACTGCAGTCATAGGGTTGTCTCAAGTCCATGGGTAGGCTTAAGCCAATTAGTGAGGCCCATAATCCTGGACAAGGTGATTGGCTTAGAGATGATCGCATTCACTCAGTAGAGGTCAATGAGATGAAAGAAGGTATTTTCTGACATATTTGATAAAAAATTTTAAAATATACAGGATGGTCATATGGTAATGTTATTGACCATAATATATTATAATTTTTATTTTACAATTTTACAATAGCTGTTACTTGCTTATGACCAAAAATCACTCAAAGTAATATAATTTATTTATTTAAAAAGTCAAATCATTATATTCTTTTGATGAAAGGGGCAGGTATATGGAGAGCTGGAAATTCTCCCCAGAAAGGCCCCACCTGTTAGCGCAATGTAAAGCCCCTCATTTATTCCCCATTAGGTAATGTATTTTAATTTTCTTCACAACGTGTATCACTAGCTGAAGTTATCATATCCATTGGATTACTTATTTTGTTGTCTTCCCCATAAAATATTACCTCCATAAGAACAAAGACCTTATCTCTACTGTTAACCATCATATCTTCAATGTCTAAAATAGTACCTGACAGCTCTCACATAGTAGAGATTCAGTATTCGTTAAATAAACCCTAGCTACAACTCAGAATTTTCCTACTTGACATCTTCACAATCACTTTTTTGTGCCCCAAAAGAAAAAAATGATCATCTCTATTAGAACATTTTCTGAAGTATGAGGATGCATGTTTGCTAGAAGGCAGAAAAAAATGACTCCTTGATCTCATTGGCTTGTATCAGACATGTGACCACCCCTGACTCAATTACATTGGCCAAAATTATGGTCTTCACTAATTGACTTTAGCCAGTCAAGACTCATCCATGGAGCTGGGGATGAGAAGAATCCACTTAATTTGCTAAGATATGAAAGAGATAGTTCTCCCAAAGAATATTCTGATACACTTACCATGAAAGAAGAGATATGTGTATTAGTATCTCCAACAGCTATCCACTTTGCTACTCAACCTGTAAGACAGAATCTTCCAAGTGACAATTTGAGTCCAGGGAGGTCAAGGGACTCACAGGGCATAAGCAAAAGATTAAAATGTTCAGTTCTTAAAAGACTAAAATTGGAATAAAATGCCCTGCTCCTCTGCCTTTTATTTAATTTCTTGGTACACATGTATTCCTTTGTTTATTAGCAAATATTTATTGATCATCTGCTATGTTCCAGACACATGCTTTGCCAGGTATTGGTGCCAAAGCAGTAAACTATATGAACAAGGTCCCTATTCTAATAGAGTTTATATTCCACTGTGAAAAACAAATGAAAAACTGAAGAATATGCGTTTATATAATGCCAGGTAGCAATAGATGCCATTAAACATAAAGCACAGGAAGTGAATAGCAAGTGTCAAAGAGAGATATCTTATGAAAGGTGATCAAAGAAAGCCCCACTAAGAAGATAAAGTTGAGCGGAAACAGTGTGGTATAAGAAACTGAGATATGAGACTATCTGTTGGAAGGGAATCCTATGCAGAAATAAAAGCAAATACCAAAGGCCTTGAGGTGGGAGCATGCTTGGCAAGTTTGGGGAAGAGCAAGGAGATAGTATGATATTTAGATAAACTAAATCAACCTTTCCCAACTATAGTGTCCTCTTTTGTAAACAGAAGTTAACCTAGTAGGATTGTACTATGAATAAAAAGGGACTATACATGGTAAGTCTCTTGCATACAGTAGGTGTTCAGCCAAAGATGGCATCTTTCTTTTAGTGCCCTTCACCTTTCCCTTGGGTTCAATCTCCACTCAAGTCATCTTAGGACACTAACTAGCCACACGCTCAATTTGCCTGTGTAAACCTTTTGGGTTTGAAAGCAGCTGCTACTTTGAAGTATTCCATGCCCACACCGTGTGGTTTCATGATCCTTTTGTTCACGATCGTGTTACACTAACCACAATCCACAAAGGAGACAGCAACATGCTACCTTCTTCACTCTTGTGTATCCAAGTGGATTTTTTTTAGACTAAAGGGGTAATGTGGGTGTCTGATCATATGAGTCAAAGGTTCCAACCAGAATATAAATAAAATCCAGCTCTTGGTCAAAAGAAGCCAGTGTCAATTTGTGTAAACCAGACCATGCTATGTACCATAAACCTCGTAAACCATTGAAATTTATTCTCCATTAACATTTCCAAATGCATCAGAAATAATATTTTCTATTTGGTTTCTATAGTGCTATTTTTAAATAGCCAGGTCTTTCTTTATGCATAACTTATATACATATATATATACATATATATATATATATATCGTGTGTACACATGTGAGTGGAGGAGGTGTCTGTGAGTGTGCAAATAAACTAATCTAAGATATTTATTTGCCTCGGATTTTTGTAGATCCTATTATGACACTTGTTTTCAAACCCAGCTCCACAAAATATTTTAGAGCTATGAGAGATGGAGACTTGGGGACCGGAAAGGTATGTGGGCTGAGCTGTGGACCATGTGCCATGTCTACCTTAACTGAAACTTCAGCTTTTATCTATTTTCCATACCTGGTAAGATTTCATTTGAATAAAGAGTTCTGCTCATTTAAAAAATTTGAACTGTCTTAGGATACTAGAACAAAGCCAAAGTGAGATTTTCCTGGAGATAAAATTAAGCAAGTTATGTCCTATTATCAGATGGTGAAGAGAAGAGCATGTTAGATTGGGTATTTACCTGCCTTCCAATAATCAAGAAAATGTTCCCTTCTTTCTACTTTATCATGTTAGGTACACGTCGAGTATATATGGATGAAGATTTAAGTGAAAGAAGGAAAAGCTAGACTATTGCATGATTACTGTGAGAAAAATTGTAAATTATAACACCAATAGAACAAATCACTTTAAGCTTCCTAATTGGCATTACTTCTGATTTGCTAATTGCATTAACAGGGAAGTGAGTTTTCAGTAAAGATATGTGTCATTCCACAAAGTTATAGAACTATTTCAAAAGTTCAGAGTCAAGATTACATAACAACTTTATATAAGCTATTAAATGAACAAGGTCTTATTAGGAGTAAAATTGTTGTTAAAATTCTGATTAGAGTTATATTGCCATAATATATAACTTGCATAGTTATATTCCCAAAATAAAATTTATCTAAGATTTTCATTAAAATTATTAGAATTTCATTTTTTAATGAAATTGAAAAGGTTATTTGTGAAAAATAAGGAATGATTTTTCTAATTGGCAATGTTTCAGACTGACTATCTTCCATTCTGTTGACCTCTTCAGGGCACTCTCATTCAAAATGAAGCATCGGTCCATTTGATCCAGGGTCCCTTCCAGCTCAAAAAGCCCATGATCCTATGAAATGTTGCCTTGTGAAGTTTTCCACACCTCCCATGATGTTTGTACTGGAACATGCCAGGAGAGTGGAGAATTTCCAGTTCTTTTTACTGATTTGTTTTTGCATTTTCTTCCACCTGGATTCTGAAGGGGGAAAATGCCTTGAACCATTTTTTTTCTTAAAAAATAAAAAAGTCTTGCTTTAAAAATAGCCTTTCAGAAAGAATAAATTCCCATTAGGAGTTTCCTGTTTTCTTACATTCACTGTTTCTACTTTCAGTGCCAATTTTTCAAAACCAGGGAAGAAATGAACTGCATGAGATGCTTGGGGCTCCCAGGTGGATATAACCTGCATGTACTGATAACGAGTCTGTTTTCACTTCATTCCTGGGAATGTAGCCCACTATGAATTCTGTTGCATGGCTTGATTATCTGCCCTGCCCATATTTTTTCTAAAAGAATACTTTAAATTTTGGGCATATCTAGGCTTCTCCAGAGACCCCCAGAAAGTCTAAAACCCGGAGAGTTTTCTGTTATTCTTTATCTCAATATACCCTCCCTGGTGTCATCTACTAACATTCCAGGTGCTACATCATATTGATTGAAGGGCTGCATTGCCATTTTTAGAGTTCCTTTCCTTCCAGAGTTCTGCCACCATCTTGAATAATGTGAAATGCACTTATAGGTTATATACAACACTCTGACCCCTTGGTTTCTTGATTTAGTTATCTCTGTTGACTTTTGCCTTTACTCCATTTCTGTTGCCCATTCTCACGACCACAATTTGGTCCTTGTTATCATTCTGGAAGGATTCATCCCTGAAATGATAAATTCCAGTAATGTAACCCTAACTTCAGTTCTTCCATTCTGCCTACTTATTGTCATTGTGCCTGCTCTTTGGCAATACCTCTTTGTTTTTCAGTCACCTATCTATTTTCTCACGTTTATCTAGACTTTCTCTTTTCCCTTCCTTTTCTATTTAGATTCCAGAAGCCATCACTTCAATGAGACCATTGACAATATCCTCAGACATTTTGATGCTTATTCATGCAATTACTGGCTGGCAAACCCAAACCCTGGATTAATTCATCTAGCTGTTTTCTCTTTTTGAATGTCATAAGCAACTGAAACTAAGTATATCCAAATCTGAACTTATAATTTTCTCACCAACTCTAGCGTACTAATTTTCCTACCCCCATACCCAGTACTGCTATCTATTCAACTGTCTCTCAGAAAGTGAGACTTTCTGGACTTCCAATCTATCATCAGGCTTTGATGATTTGTCTCCAGTCCTCATTTCTTCACCCTCACTTCCACTTACTTAGTCCTGTCTCTCTCAATCTCCTCGACTTCTGCAATGCTTCTAAACTGGTCTCCCTGCACTCAGTTTAGGCCTTGTCCAATTTATTTATTTATTTAGATGGAGTTTCATTCTTGTTGCCCAGGCTGGAGTGCAATGGTGAGATCTTGGCTCACTGCAACTTCTGCCTCCTGGGTCCATGTGATTCTCCTGCCTCAGCCCCCTGAGTAGCTGGGATTACAGGCAAGTGCCACCATGCCCGG
Organism: Homo sapiens; assembly: GCF_000001405.40. NCBI lineage: Eukaryota > Metazoa > Chordata > Mammalia > Primates > Hominidae > Homo > Homo sapiens. The sequence goes on from NC_000012.12 coordinate 29,029,577, forward strand.
CTAATTTTCTACTTCTAGTAGAGACAGGGTTTCTCCATGTTGGTCAGGCGGGTCTCAAACTCCTGACCTCAGGTGATCTGCCTGCCTCGGGCTCCCAAAGTGTTGGGATTAGAGGCATGAGCCACCGCGACCGGCCATCCAGTTTATTCTTATACTTCAGCCAGAATTATATTGTTAAAACACAGTTCTGATCAAGGTACTCTTCTAATCGAGACCTTCAATAACGAACCTTTTCTCTTGTAATAAAGTCCAAACTAACTAAAATACTCATAAGATCTTTTCTAATCTGAGTCTGTCCCTTTTTGCTGCCTCACATCTAGTCACACTGCTCTTTTTAAGTTCCTCCAATAGGCCCTGCTCTTCCTGACTTCCAAAACTTTTTGTGTGTACTCTGCTTAAACATTATCTTGTATTCTCTTTTCCACCAATCCAGTGACCTAGGTAGCTGCTGGACTTGGCTTAGATAATGTTAAAATTTCCCAAATCTGAGAAAGGGTCTCTCCTCTGTTCCCATAGCACTTGGTACTTCCCTTATTATATTCCTTATGATTATCCTTTGAGATAGTTGCCCGTTTATGTGTTTGCTCCACAATTGTAGTCTCACTCTTTCCAGTGAGACAATTATCTCTGAAAGGGCTGAATCCTCATCTGAGTCACCAAGAAAACCTCAGAAACTAGCATAGCAATAGAACATTGTAGATACACAATAAGTATCTATTGTATCAACTAATGAATCAACAGGTGTAGTCTATTCATTAATTGAATCAGTCATTTAAAAAACATGTATTGTCTTTATAGTCACAAGTGCTGTAAATACAAAATTCAAGAACCTGGGACACATTGGAATATGTTTCCAAAATAAAGGTAACAAAATAATGATAAACATTTATCAGATACATACTACGTTCCAATCACTGTTCCAAGTGCGTTATGTCTTCTGTAATCCTGGAAACAGCACTATGAAATAGGTAGGATTATTATTTGGATAATATATATGCACAAACTGAGGCAAAGGGAGGCTAAATAACTTCTCTAAGTTTAGGAAGCAAGTTGCAGGACCATGATTTGAACCTAAGCAGTCCGACTCAAGAATCTGTGAAATACCACTGCTTTACAGCAATTGTTTTATTGTGCTATATATTGCTTTTGTATCTATATTTATTTCTAGACTACAATAAGCGACCAAAATTAATTATATCCAAAACTGAACTCATAATTCTCTCACCAACTCTAGCCTTCCAGAAGTAAAAAGGCCCTGTGGAGCTCAGTCAGACAAAGAAAAGTGCTGATGCCCTTGAGGTTTTTACAATCTCTGTGTAGATGTGGGAGAGGAAGGGGATAGACACATTCACACACACACACATGCACACACAAATCATAATTAATTTCACTGAACTGTGAACAGAGCATTCTAAAAGTCCAGAGGAGTTCATGATACATTCTGCCTTCAGAAGATGAGGAGTCACGCAAGCCTTTAGGAAAATGTGTTCATTTAGCTGCATTGTGAAAGACAGAATGAACAAAAGCATAGAGGCAAGGGTGTGAATGACTTGGGGGAATACTATACAATCGAGACTAGCTGGAGCATGGCTTGCTTGGGATATCTTTATAAGCCATGGGGCAGTTAAATAGTTTAAAGTCTTGTATACCATGTTAAAAATTTTCAGCACTCTTTTGCAATAGTTGTTAGGAATGCCAACCTAACTCTGACTTCACCTCTTCCTAGCTTTGTGACTTTAGGTAAGTCATTTAACTTTTCTGCCTCAGTGTCCCATAATAAAATAGGGCTAATTATGGTATCCACTGTACACAGCTGGTGTGATGTTTAAATTAGTTTATATATATCCATATGTATGTTCATTTATGTATATATGTGTACATTAGAACAGCATCTGGCACTATGGACATGATAGCTATTATTATGATGTGACTTTCAAATACTTTTTAAAATGAAATATCACATGGAATCCATATGTAGGAAGCAGATTTACAAAGCAAATAAATAAACAGAAGCTACTTTGTTAAAGAGTCCCAACTCTCTGACCTTCCTTCAATTTGTTGAGTTGCCCCTGTGGTGTTTTCTGGGAGCCCCAAGACTCCAGTAGAAGAGTTTGAAATCTTCCATTGTAAACACTGGAAAGAAGCTCCTAACTCAAGGTGACGAAGGCTTTCTCCAGCGTAGTTCTGTCTCCTGCGATCCAGACTCCAATGTTAGTAATTACTTAACCTATGTATGGCACTGCCTATTTAACAGGCATGTCTAAAATAAAACTGGCCAAGCACGGTGGCTCACGCCTGTAATCCCAGCACTTTGGGAGGCTGAAGCAGGTGGATTGCTTGAGGCCAGGAGTTCAAGACCAACCTGGCCAACATGGTGAAACCCTGTCTCTATTGAAAATACAAAAATTAGTTGGGCGTGGTGGTATGCAGCTGTAGTCCCAGCTACTATGGAGGCTGAGGCAGGCAAATTGCTTGAACCTGGGAGGCAAAGGTTGCAGTGAGCCGACATCGCGCCACTTCACTCCAGCCTGGGTGACAGAGCAAGACTGGGTCTCAAAAAAATAAATAAATGAATTAATTAATAAATAAAATTAAATTAAACTTATTATTTTCTTCCATTTGCCCCCACAACCAACAAAATCCATTTCTCTCTTCCTTCCCATGTAGCAAATTTCCCCACCATTCCTTTAGCTATGAAGCCAAACTCCTGATTCGTTTGTCTCTTACCTAGTATTTATTCTGATAGGCTTAAAAACCCTTCAACCTGATCCCTTTGCATCTAGCATAAAATGCAAACTGATTATTACGAGCATTTAAGGCTTTATGTGATTTCCCTTCTTCTTCAGACTTGGTTCATACCCCTTACTTGTAGCCTCTCTTCACGGAACATACCAGTCTTCTTCCCTTTTCAGGGATTTTGTGCTTGATGTTCCCTCCCATCTATTTCCATCACTGCAGTAGGGGTTTCTGTGATTTGCAGGGATGTATTCCTAACATCTGGAGCTCCATTGCTGACCTGATGTTATAAGAATGACGCTGTCCTACATTTTCATGACTATTCTTTCAGCTGACTCTTACAACTCATAAATCATCTAGCCACTTCACTTTGCAACTCTGAGAGTTATTTGTCCAAAAAGCTTTTCTAAGAGAAAGCCAGAGGTTAGATCATGGAGGAGTTTTGTGCTTCACAAGGGAACCTGGACTTGATCCAGGAGACTATAAGGTTTTAAGAAAGAGTGTCTTAGTTAGATTTGCATTTTGGATAGATCTGCCACTCATATGGAAGACAGTTTATTTCCCATTTTACAGATGAGAAATTTCAGTCTTAATAAAGTCAATAAATAGATTATAAGAAGAAGAAGAAGCCAGAATCCTGATTTTCTAACTTCAACATTGCAATTATTCCTTTTATTAAGTGAAAGGAATATGTTTTCTTGGGCTAAATTTTTGCTTATTCTTTCCTTCAAAATCACTTGCTAAAATGCTTAAAATGTCCTTTGCTAGGTCCTGGGAATCAAGAAATAAAGAAGACTCAGTCGGTCTTCTTTAGAGTTCACAGTTTACTGGTATGTTGGCTTCAGTTTGATTCCAGATAAGTCTCCATTTTTCTCCCCACTGAGGTGATTTCTTCCTTTCCCCATTCTTCGCTGGTGTGAAGGGAGCACAGAGGCACAGGACCCTTCTTGCTTGGTATGGAAATTACCCATGTTTCAGTTAAATGAAAGTCTAACCATTCTTGTGGCAGCTAAATTGGGTTGGAAGACCAATAGAAATTTGACCAACAGCTATACTTGACATTATTCCTACACCGTGAACAAGTGTTCTGAGGAAAAACCATCAGAAAGTTTCCAAGGGAAGAGAAACTGAACCTATGAGGCTATAAACCTTGCCCAAAAGGAGCATTTGTCCAGAACATTCAGTGGCTTCTTTAATATTAAAAGAGAGGAAAAGTAAACATTTATGCTTTCCCAGAGGTTTAAACATTCTTTCACTGTGTCATCTCTGAAAATAGTGCATTAACCCCAAGGGTAATAACGCTTTTGCTTTAAGGATTATTTTAATTATAAGAAAGATGATCTTATATTGTAAATAGTACTGGGTCATGTAGCAGATGAATAATACATTGATGATTAATAGTGCTAAACAATTAAATAGCACTTAACTTTCTCAAACCATATTCATTTTAACCTAGCAAGGTCTCTGAATTCCCAGACGGTATTCATCCCATTAAATTACACTCATGTGGTAGAGTCAACTAAAGCACAGGCTCAGAAGTCAGACATATGTAGTCACAAATCTTTTTGCATACTATTCATTTGTACCATCAATATTAGACATCCTAGTAAAAAATAAAGCATACGCTAGAGCTTTTCTGCTTACCATTTCTAGGTGCATTCCTATTGCCTTTTAATTTGTGTGAAGTGTTATTTTGCTTGATCGGGAACCCTGGGTCAAAGATTTTAAAGTGGTATTAATTCAGCATTTTAGAGATAATCGTGAACCCATGTGCAGAGAAAATAGACCACTCATGTGGGTCTTTGAGGTATACTATGGTAGAGGACACATGTCCTAGAGGCACGGAGTCTGAATTTATGTTCTGAATCATTTTTTCTAAGTGAACTTGGGCAAATTACTTAATTTCTACATACCTCAGTTTCCACATGTATAAAAAGTCTAAGTCTCTACTGTATGATATTATAAGGATTAACTGAGAGAATGCATGCAAAGCACTTAGAAAAGCACCCATCACATACTTGATTCCCAGGAAATGGCACCTATTACTATAATTGTTGCAATTAAATTAGTTACAGTAGCTCTTTCCCTCATGTGTGACAAACTCACCAAACTCTAGTAGTGGGCAGCTTTCCTTTCATTTTAATTATTTTAATTATGGTTTATTATTTCCCAAGCAAGCTCACATTGTGGCAGCCAGTCTTCAGAAAGTACTTCTTCTATTGCCTGATCTATCTAACTGTCTCTTGCTTTTTAGGAAAATAAACTTAAGACAGTTCGTAATGGTAAAGACAGTCAACTTTGTTTTCACAATAATAAAAACAATTATTTTTTAAATAAATTCAGTTTCCCTGGAGATGTGTGCTTTACTTCATCATAAGAACACATCATGCCAATGTCATACCTAGAAAATATTTATACATATTAAATTTTTTAATTTAATTCAATAAATATTCACTGGGCACTTAGCACTTTCTTCTTTCAAGGAACTTACAGTCCAATAGAGAGAAAGTTATGTTAACAAATAATTCCAGCAGGGTAGAAATCATATATTTTTCCCTTGAGGCTGAGTGTGAGATAGAGCCTTATCCCAAAGGCAGGCAGTTTATTGAAAATGTGAATAAAGAAGCAATGGGAAAATATGAATAAGGTGTGAAGGACAGAGAAAGAGAAAAAAATGAAGAATATGTTTTAAAGTTGGCCACTGCTTCAGGCAACTGGAGCTTGATTTTATAGGATTACTAAAGGAAACTTATGAAATAATGTCTCAGAGCTATCTGTTCAAGAGAGAAAAGAAGGGCACATTTATCCATCAGCTCCTAACTTCCATTGGTCAAGTGTGGCCCTACCAACCTTAGCTCTCCTACACTTTCTAATTTCTGTGGGTATTGAACTAATATTCACAGATATTCCTTATTCTGACATCAGAGAAACCATAGATCTCAAAACAAAAGGTACATATCATGAGGCCAAAGGTGTGGCACTGTCAAGTCACAACTTGATGTAGCTTGTCAAAATCTGAGCAGATCTAGTCACTGCTACAATGGTGGGTGTAAGGTGTGGGGCTTAGGACATATGATATTATGCAGAAGTGTTGTCTAATACAATCCAATTTTTCATCCCTCCAACCTACTCAAACTATCCGTTAAATCTAAGCTGTCACACTGCCTGCTTCAAGGTAGTGGCCAACCACAATATATTTAAAGACTTAATACAAAGGGATTAGGTAAACAAACTGAAGTCCTTGCTGTTTCAATTGGCCCCAAGGCAGTAATTAATTTGTATTATCTCTCTCTTGCTCTATCCACATTAGACTTTTCTCACTTTTGTTAGCATTCCAAATTATTTATAATTTCTGGAGAGGTGATGTAGTTCTTCGCCCCTGAGACACTAAGTCCTTAATTATCTTTAACTTTTAAGGAAGTGATTGATATAATTGCCTATTCATTATTAACTCAGGGCATAGAAACAGCAAGAGATAAACCTAGTGAATTTCCTGAGTTCCAGACGTACTTCTCCCTACCTGCACTGTATGGTAGCAACCATAGCTCTCTTTAGAAATCAAGTTACTCACTCCCACCTTTTTACTCATATTTTTCTTTGCATTTTGACCTGATAGCATGCACAACCAATGAAATTCCTACTGTATTCTGAGGAAAAGCCTTTCTTCCTGGAGAACTAGGGCCTCTGATTCAACATAGGTTATGGTTATCAAGATAACACAAATTCTACAAGGGGGTGTCTGAAAGCGATGGTGAGGGGGGCCAATCCTACTCCCATTCCTTAGTTGATTGACCCATCTATTCTACCTGTTGCGGATATAGCCCCATATACTTACTGTTGGTTCAACACATATACTGTATTCTGGAGGCCAACACTCCAACTCAACACAGTGTTAACCTCAAGCTGGAACTTTCGTTAAGCTTTTATCTAGCCATCCCACCATTCTAATATGCCGTCTGCCTCAATATAGTAAGGTATGTAATAAGACCAAAAAAAGTCCACTACCATTCATTCAGTATTGCACTTCTTTTACCATAAAACAGGTCTCACTTGGTCTGAAACAAGATGTATGGGTTATCATGCTGATAGACGAGTTTTTCTATAAGCTCTCAGATGATGGTGCTTGCCAAGGCACCATGAGGAACCAAAGTAAACCCAAGTCCAGAATAGATAAGTTTTGTTAATGATAAACCAGTACCCTTTGTAGGGTAAAGGGTTCTGATACAATCAATTTGCTTTCAAGTATAAGGTTAATTGTGACACATTAAGAACCCAGTGTTGGGCTCTTTGCTGAAAAATTGGACATTCGCCAATGGCAGTAGTTAAGAAAGGTTTGTTTAGAGGGAGTCTGTATTTAACCGCCATTGCTGTCACCACAGCTACTTTCATGGGTCCTCTGTGAACATAATGGAGTGGCTGGGGATATAGCCTGGTTGACATCTGCTGGATTTGTCTGCCTGATTGTTGATTGTCTTCTTTCTAGTGGGTGTTCTTGATGGGGATTGATGTTAATACAAAGCCTTCATACTTTGTGCCCATTCCCAAACTACCTATTTTCATTCCACTTTCCCAGACCTTCTTGTCCTAGATTTTGCTCTTCCAAACCACTGGCTAGCATTCTTACCACTGGACATTAGATAGATAGGCCAGTAGAAGATGGGACATCTGAAGACTGGCTAATACGATGTGGCTTCACTTGGGAAATAACAAAACATAATTTTAAAAAAGTGAAATGAAAGGAAAGCTGCCTATTAGAACATGTACGTCCTTACCATGAGACACTTTTATCCCATACAAAAAAGATACCAGGTGTACCATCCAAAACTTTTCCAATTTGGTGGATTTTCCTCAGCACTGTCTTGCAGGACATCCTTGACTGGGGCTATAGTTCCACAGCATTCTAGAACTATTCTAGAATAGTTTTATAAGCCCATCTGTGAACCAGTCCCAAGTTTCTCTCTGTTTTATAAATTGGTCTTAGGAAGCCAATCAATAGAAGCATTGGCTGAGGAAGCAGTATTTGTACAATAAAGGTAGGTGTAATGGGAATCTGGAATAGCAGTTCAAAAAATTTACCTGTGGTTCATAGACCTGCTGAGGCTCTGTCTCAGATGTGTACAGGGAATTGCTGCTTTGCCCATCCAGTCTTGCAGTTTGATGGGTCTGATTCTATCCAGCTTATGCTGGACAAAGACTCCACATGTTTATTTACCACGGGATAGTGTATATGTTTGCTGCATATTGCTACATAAAAATACCCCAAAATGTAGTGGCTGCAATTATTTTACCTTCTTTCAGACCATAATTTATTTTAAATCAAACATCTTCACCTCTAAATAAGTACATAAAGCTGACCCATATTGCTGGAAGTAATACTGGTCTTGGTAGTGCCTCCCGCTTTCCCCATTCTCATTTATAAGGGATAGGGTGTGAAAGATAAAGACATGGGGCTGTCTTGTCCATCAGGTAGTAAGTTATTTGCCATTATGTAGCTAAGTTTAGCCAGACGGGGCAGGGCAGCTCTACTTTTCCTCATAGGTAAGGTATGTTCCTTTAATCCAAACCAACAGGTCAAATGTTTTTTCTTCCTATGAGGGTTTCATTTCTGCAAAAATGGCTACTAATTGTAGGTCTTGCATTAACCCAAACACACTCTTACATTCAGCTCTATCCAGGGCCTAAAAAATCATCAGAGATAACTAACTCTAAATAACTGTCTTAAAAGTGACTTCCTAAGGAACTGCTTATACCTGTCCGTAAAGTGGGCTCAATTTCTTTTTCTTTCTTTCTTTTTTTTTTTTTTTTTTTTTTGAGACGGAGTCTTGCTCTGTCACCAAGCTGGAGTGCAGTGGCGTGATCTTGGCTCACTGCAACCTCTCCACCTCCCTGGTTCAAGCGATTCTCCTGTCTCAGCTTTCCAAGTAGCTGGGACCACAGGCGCATGCCACCATGCCCAGCTAATTTTTGTATTTTTAGTAGAGACAGGGTTTCACCATGTTGGCCAGGATGGCCTCGATCTCTTGACCTCGTGATCCACTCACGTTGGCCTCCCAAAGTGCTGGGATTACAGGCGTGAGCCACCGTGCCCGGCCTCAATTTCTTAAATGTATTTCCTGTAGTTGCACGTTCTCTTGTCCTACAGCATTTCTCATGTATTTTTTTAATTGTGCTTATTGTAATTAAAGGTAAAACAAGACTAGCTTTTCTCTCAAATATTACATCTGCTCAAATCCCTTTGGTTGGAGCTTCACTTGATGGCCAAAGTGCAAAAAAACTTAATCTCATTTGTCTCTTGATCAGTTTTTCCTTTTAATTTTGCTATAGTGAACAAGCAAACAAGTGAATAAACAAGCAAACAAGTGAACAAGCAAACAAGTGAATAAACAAGCAAACAAGTGAACAAGGAAACAAGTGAATAAACAAAGGCTCTGGCACTTTGTTATCAGCCTGCACATTTCTTTTAATCCATTTTCTATTTCTCTAGGCTCCATATCTACCATCTCTAAACGCCATTAATAAGTTTTCCATCACAGAACACCAAGTTTTTGCCACTTCAAACCAAGGGTGATTTGGTAACCATTTCAGCCATGAAAAGTTCATTTTAATGTTTTTTTCTTTTCTTCTCTCTTTCCTCAAGACCATCTTAGCCACTTCTCTACAGAGTGAGTCAGGGGTGTCTTCAGCAGTCCCACTTAGAATACCAACAGTGCTAATTTGTCTTTATGGCAGGAGTCTTTTATAATGAGTTGTTTATGTAAGCATATTCCAGCCATGTGACCAGCCTCAAGCATTAAAACCCCATGGGTTCTACTGAAACCAGCTGCAAGTCAAATCCAAAACATATGTAACACATGTTACATTACTAAGCAATACTAACTGGTAATTACGTTTGTTCCCAAACAACTCACAGACCCTTGGTTGCAAAACACGGTTTATCTCAGTTAGTGCATTGGACAAGGATGATGAGTACTGTGCTTCTGGCAACTTCAGAGATAAGTATGCAACCAACAAATCCAGTCTGGCTGAGATTAACCCACGCTGTACACTAAGAGTCAGAAATCTTTTTCTGTAAGAGGCTAGATAGTAAATATTTTCTTTTATGTTTTTGGCCATAGGGTCTGTGTTGAAAATACTAAACTCTGCTTTAGCAGCATGCAATCAGCCATAGACAATGCATAAGTGAAGGGTCATGGCTGTGTTTCAGTAAGATTTTATGTATAAAATTAGGCAATGAATCATATTTGGCCCACAACTTCTAATAGTCCAATCCCTGCTACACACCATTGCTTCTCCTTATATCTGTACCTTCTCCAAATCCAGCACTGGTGAGCATCCTAGTAACTGTAATGCTGCAACACAGTTATGACCACCCTGGAGTTTATCACCTCTCTACTCATACCAGCAATGCCATCCTTACTTCTTCTAACTGGTTAGTATACCAGTTCTACAATCCAATTCTGAGAATTGGCTTCTAAGGACCACTTGTATGCCAACTGTCTTAGTTTGGGTTCTCTGAAAGCAGTGGATAGGACAAGGACATGGGTGAGGATATTTTATTATATTTGGGATATAATCCCAGGACACAGGAGTGAAGTAATGAAAGGAGTGAAACAAGGAAGGAAGAGAGGAAAATATAAGGAAACATCAAAATATCTGCTGTGGACAATGAGAACCTCAAGAAAAGCATGCAAAATATTTCCTAGAATTATAACTTAACAGTCCAAAGAATGGAAGCCTGTAGTCCTTATACACTGGCTCTCATCCTATTTATGGATGGTTATTTACTACCCTGAAATTCTAGACTGAATTTGCGCATGGGCTAAGCAGGATCTTCCAGGCTTCTGCAGAGTGTGAGATAGCCCTAGAACAGAAAGTGAAAAGATGCACGGTGCACCTGTCAGTACAAGGTGATTCTAAGGTTGCGCTGAACTATCATCACAGTTATGGCTGAAATCAGAGGTGGGCCAGGGGAAATTACTCAGGGCGTTAGAGGTAACAGTAAAACAGTGAGGGAGCACATAGAGGAAAATGTATTTTAGTACTAAGAAAGAATCATCCAAATAAACAGAAGCTTCAAAGTACTGAGAAGAGGAGTGGGGTGGCCTCATGCACAGAGTCGAAAAGCCACCGTACACTGGACAGGGGGCCCAAACTAAAACCAAGTGTCCAAGTGTCTGTTTTTTACTGCCCATCTTACATCCAGTTGTGTGGTCTGAAGTTTTCAGTCACTTTAAGACAAAGTAGATTCAGAGCAGCTCCTCCCTCTGAGTTCAAAATGAGGAGTGCCCTATTATTCTCTCCCCGGTCTCCATGGAGACATAAATGCCCAAGTAACTGATGCTACTACCTGGAGGGACTCACCTTTACCAACACCAAGGGAGCCAGCCCTGAGAGTTCATGCCAAGTCATCTTTCTCCTGCTTTGTTCCCTGGAACTGATAAACTGCTGCTTCGAAAAACCAGAAGGCCTTGCCTCTATTTTGTTTTCAGTTCTACTCCCTAAGAGCCTCAGCATAAATATGAGAGGAGATAAAGGGAAAGTTAAGAAACTTCTGTTAGCATTCTGATGTTCAAACCCAAGGTAAAATTTTAAAAATTAACCAGGTGTGGCAGCATGCACCTGTGGTCTCGGATATATTGGAGGCTGAGGCAGGAGGATCACTTGAGCCCAGGAGTTGAGTCTGCAGTGAGTCAGGTTTGCTCTCCTGCAAAACATAGCCTGGGTGACAGAGCAAGACCCTGTCTCAAAACAACAACAACAACAACAAAAAATCAAACTAAATCAACAAACAAACAAAAATCATTAAGAATAAGATCCTTAGTACAATTCAATGTTTTAAAAATAAAAAATTTATATATTTAACAAATCTGTTCAAAAATTAAGTAAATTGTTACATAGTTAACATAAACTGTTATACACTCATATGTTAACATGCACATGTTACTCATATACATATGTATATACTTATACACTTATATGTTAACACATTACATACTATTCAACTCATAACTCATATTTTAAAATTATCTAAGGACATTAAAAATTATCATATTATAAAGTCAAGTGTAAAAAATGCACAAACATTATCAGTGAGTTTTCAGTTTATATGAGTAAGGTGGTGTATTTTCTTTTCACTGCAGTCTTGATCTTCCTGTTGAGGGCCATCCAAGAGCACCATGATGAAGTGGAAAGAGATTGTTCACAAGAATGATCACTTACAGAAGACTGAGCCCAAGGCCCTTGCTGATGGATTCCCAGACTTATATGCATCCGAGATTGAAGAACTTAAACATCTTGCCCTTGCCATGACCACAAATCAGAGGTAAAGTTCAAACAATGCCTCAGATGTCTCAGAACCAAGCACTTCTGAAGTGTCTGCTGAGCTTAGCAGAGTTTCTGCTGCAGAATGGGTGACAGTATAGGGGCATAAAAGTTTGTTCTAAAAACAGTGGGAAAACGGAGGAACTGTTCTATATATAGAAACAGGAGTAATAAAAGTCTTTCATAGCATAAGAATGCAACTAGCAGTGACTAATGTCTTGTGGTTCTTTCTAGAGTAATAAAATTTAATGTCCATGGACTTTGACCTTCAAAAGACCAAAGACAGGCTGTTTCAAGAACGCGGTCTTGAACAATTTGTTGACATCTTCACAAAAGAAAAATAATTCTCTAAATCAGTAACTGAGTCTCCGGAAGGTAAGGAATCCTGATTTCATGAAATAAGGACAGCATCACAGATCTAAGGGGAAACAAAGCCTGAAAAAGAGGAAGAAAGGAAAAGACTATTCGTAAGCTTTCAAAGGAGATTGGATGGAAATTCTGTAATTAGAAGGTTACCATGTGTGGAGGGCTGTGGGGCAGGCAGCATTCAGTGTCATTTTGCATTCTTATAGAGATCTGAAATGTGTTTCCTTACTTTGCCTTTTCCAGGTTTCTTCTTGGAAACCCCCACATAGTCTCATGAGCACCTACAATGACAGAAAGGGGTAAGTCAGCAGCCCCATGTCTTTGAAATTATTGGATCGAAATTCTCCTTTCCTTTAGTTATACCTGCCATCTCTTTAATTCAGAAACAATTCTGAACTTTAGTGAATTTTTTGCAATCGTTTTATTCCTAGCTTAGGACTGTTTCTGCTCCTGAAAATCATAGAATTCCCAGATTCTGTGGGTGAGAAATCACTTCATCAGAGACACAATAAAAAACAATCAATGTTTTGAAAATGCAAAGTCTGGGTTGGTCACTGTGACTCCTGCCTGTAATCCCAGCACTCTGGGAGGCCTAGATGAATGGATGGCTTGAGCTCAGGAGTTCGAGAACAGCCTGCGCAACATGGTGAAACCCTGTCTCTACCAAAAATGCAAAAAATTAGCTGGGCATGGTAGCATGTGTCTGTAGTCCTAACTACTCAGGAGGCTGAGATGGGAGGATCACTTAAGGCAGAGGTTGCAGTGAGCCAAGATCTGGCCACTACTGCACTCCAGCCTGGGTGACAGAATGAGACACAGTCTCAAAAAAAAAAAAAAAAAAAAAGGAAGAAAAGTTTGTCACTTGAAATTTTTTTTATTATACTTTAAGTTCTTGAAATTTTTGAAGTATCATAATAGACACACTCCTAAGGGAAAGAAAATGGGAAATTACTATTTATTTATACTAATGTTTTAAAATATATATTCTCCCAGTGATCGTTTGTTTATAATGATTTGATCAGTTTCGTCTCTATTTAGTGTACTGGCAACATCTTTAGACATCAGCAAGACTCAGGAGTAACATGTTTTTGTGCTACCCATAAAATAAACAATTTTTTTCTCCAGTCAATAATCATCTCTCATCTTTCAACACAGTTGCTCTACTGCTTACTATAGGTCTGTTTTGAGTTAATTTTCAGTGAAAGGCAGGCAATTTTAACTATGAATCTTCTTTCCTGGATCAAATGACCTACCCTCCCCCAAAACATGACATGTTATTCATAATCCTGCAGTTTTATTAAGTCATGTACTCTTTCGACAAATAAAGGAGAATTCAGTTTAACTACTGACTATCACCAGATGGAATGGTTGCTACAATAAGACAAACAATCTAGTCATTGCAAGTAACCAAGATGAGCAACTTAGTTCTCTGAAAAGTTATCTAAATAAATTACTGGTCATCATACATTTTTGTGCAAAATGCTAAGAAATCTTGTTTCTTATATATTCTAGTGATTATTGTCCTTCATTTATTATTTTCAATTATGTCTCTAAAATATAACAACAGGAACAACTAAAACACAGTGTCAAAAGTGAGCTCTTCATTAAAAAAAAAACATGCACAGGATATTTGGTGCTAGTCCCAGTGGAGATTTAGGAGATTTTCAATCTGTTCAGGCCAATGATCACTGAAGCCACAGTATGACTCTATTTATTCATTTATTACAGAAAATTATTCTACAAATAGAGTAAAAATTAAGTGCCTATAGTGTGATAGTTGCCTTGTCTGGCACTACAGAGATGGCTAATTATCACTCTCAAAAATAAAGGACATTATGGGATGTAATACAATAATTGCCACAATAGTCAGCATATGATCAGTGTCTCAAAGAGAAATTCTGATGAAATACTCTGAGAGGAATGAACAAAGAAGGGAGTATTTGAAAATGGCACTGGACCACGAGCAAGATTTCAGTGGACAGGGAAGGCATTGCTGGTGGGACGTTCACTGAGCAGTCAAGAAGCAGGAAAGTGCACAGTACATTTTGAAACCAGCAAGGTGACTACTTTGGTTTCTATAGGAGAGTAACAGGAAAAAACTAGGGACAAATATTAGCTGGTGTCTACTCTCTGGATAAAGGAAGCAAAGAGTCCAATTAAACCTCTGACTATCACAGGAATACATACTGTATAAACCAGCATGATGAATTACATAAAAGGATTCATTCCAGACAAACTTGTGAAGGGGATGAAATTAGTCTTTGATTCTCATATTGTACTCCCTTCAGTGTGGTAATGCTTTCTTTAAAAATTTACTTGCAGCTCCTTACTTTATAGGAAATTGTAAAATTCTGGTTAACATCTTCAACTGTTACCTCAGAGATGTTCTATGTATTTTAATTAGAATAAAAGACTTATCATGGGAAAAATAGACACCCATAAGACACACGTACCTGCACATGTATCCACTGACCCTAAAATGAAAGTTGAAAAAGAAAAAATAAAATAAAATCAAAATTTTTAAGAGAATAAAAAGCTTTTTAAGGGTAAAACTAGAATTTCAAGCATAAATCGGTGCATAAAGAAAAATTGGGGACAGTATTAACTATCTTCTGCAAGTTTCTAAAATCAGTTACCACCTGTAGAATTAAAGCTCCATCTAAATGTTATCTGAGCCCTTGAACTTTCAGGTAGAATTTATTTTTCTTCCACAGCTATACAGATCCTGGGAGTAAAACTTCTAATGCTGCAGAACGTGAAAAATTCCACTAAAGAAGTAGTTCTAAGCATGTGGTGAGGGGTACTAGAGCATTCGATGCTGGTTATTTAGGCAACATCCATTATGAACTCATCTCTCTGTTTGTTTCTTCCATAGAAGCCGGAGTGCCTACACTTTTTATCTAGCCTCCCTTGCAAATACAGATGACTATGTCACATACTTCTGGCCACAGAGACTGAAGCAGAGGTCTGCTGGGGGACCTTCTGGAAAACATATGCTTCACTGATAAAAGGGACAGATAGAGTTTATTGATATCTTACAGCTAACATTATAATTAATGAGGGAAAACAGAAAGTCCACTAAAATCCAGTACAAGACAAGGATGTCCACTCTTGTCACTTCTATTCAACATACTGCTGTAAGTACCAGCAAGAGCAATCAGACAATCAAGGAAATAAAAGGCATTCAAACTAGAAAGAAAAAAGTAAAATTGTCTCTAATTTGCAGGTGACATAAGTCTATATGTAGAAAACCCTAATCATTCCACAACACACAAAAAAAGTTAGAACTCATAAATGGATTTAGGAAATTTTTAAGATACAGAATCAATACACAAAAATCAGTGGTATTTTTATACACGAATAATGACCTTGCTGAAAAATAAATCAATAAAGCAATTTCATTTAAAATAACATCAAAAAGAATACAGTCATGTATCACTTAACAATGAGGATACATTCAGACAAATGTGTAATTAGACAATTTCATCATTTTGCAAACATCATAGAATGTACTTACACAAACCTAGATGGTATAGTCTGCTGCACACCTAGGCTATATAGGACAGCCTATTGCTCCTAGGCTACGAATCTGTACAGCATGTTACTGTACTGAATACTGTAGGCAATTATAATACAATGGTAAGTATTTGTGTATCCAAACATAGAATAGGTACAGTAAAAATATGGTATTATAATCTTATGGGACTCCTGCTGTATATACTGTACCTCCTTTTCTATGTTACAAAAGATTAAAAGCAGTATATCTGTATAGGATACTTCCCATGAATGGAGCTTGCAGGATTGGAACTTGATCTGGGTGAGCCATGAGTAAGAGAAGTGAAGTGAGTGAATATAAAGGCCAAGCACATTACCATATTCTTTTAAACAATTGGCAGTGCAGTAGGTTTGTTTACACCAGCATCACCTCAAAGGTGTGGGTAGTGCCTTGCATGATGTCATTATGATGTCTACAACATTACTAGGCAACAGAAATTTCTCAGCTCCATTATAATTTTATGAGACCGCCATTGTATATGCAGTTTGTTGTTGACCAAAACATTATTATGTGGTACATGACTGTACTTGGGAATAAATTTAACCAAGGAAGTGAAAGACTTGTACACTATAGAAATAAAAACTACAAAACGCTGATACAAAAAATTAAAGAAAACACAAATACTTGGGAAAAATCCCATGCTTAGGAATAAATAATCAATGGCCATACTACCAAAAGCAATCTACAGACCCAGTACAATACCTATCCAAATTCCAATGGCATTCTTTACAGAAATTGAAATAAAATATCTTGAAATCAAATGGAACCACAGAAGACTCTGAAAAGGCAAAGCAACTCTGAGAAAGAAAAACGAAGTTGGAGGCAAACTGAATGTCTACACAAAAAGAGTAGCAATGGATTATAGGATTATCTCAATAAGTACACAATAAACATTTGACAAAATTTCACATCTATTCATTATAAAAATTCAGCACACTAGAAATAAAGGGAGACTTCTCCAATATATTAATAACAAAAGCACCTACCAAAAACCCACAGTTGGCATGATATCTGATGTTGAAAAACAATGCTTTCTCTGTGATAAATAATGAGGCAAGGATGTCTTCTCTCATGATTCCTATTCAACATCCTAAGATAATAGAATCTGGAAAGAAAAAATAAAAGACATTTATTTTAAAAAGGAAAAATAAAACTGTCTCTACTTGTAGTTAACATAAATATTCACATAAATAATTCCAAAGAATTTATTTTAAAAAGCTACTAGAACTATTATGTGAGTTTAGAAAGTTTGGAGGACATGAGGCCAATATACAAACATAAATCATATTTCTATATTATAGCAAAAACAATTGGAAAATAAAATGTTTTAAAGTACCATTTTACAATAGCACTGAAAAACATTAAATACTTGAGTATAAATTTAACAAAATATGTGCAATCTGCCTGCTGAAAACTAAAAAACAAATTAAAAAGACACAGGTGAGTGGAAATAAATACCATGTTTACTGATTGGAGAACTCAAAGTTATAAAGATTTTAATTTTCCCTAAACTGATGTATAGATTCAATAATATTTAAAAGTAAAATCCCAGCAAATTGTTGTGCAGTAATGAACATGCTGATTCTAAATTTGTATAAAGAAAAAGGCAGTTGAATTTCCAAAACTTTTTTTTAATTGGATGACTCACAATATCTAATTTTAGATTTGCTATCAAGCTGAAGTTATCAAGAAAGTATAATCTCAGCATAAAGGTAGACATGTAGATCAATGGAACAGATTTTAACATCCAGAAACAGGCCCACATCTATTTGGTCAGCTGATTTTTGACAAGGATCCAAACACAATTGAGTAAGTTGGGCTATTTGAAGGGAATATAAAGGAAAATCTAAGTTAGAATTAGAAAAAGTTTTCTTAGATATGATACCAAAAGTATGATCCATAAAAATTGAGTAACTGAACTCCATCAAATTAAGAGCTTTTACTCTTCTGTTAAGAGTAACTTATAGACTGGAAACAATTTGTAAATAACATATCTGCTAAAGATTTTGTATACATCTGATGAAAATAAATGCAAAATCATCCATAAAATAATAGCAAACCAACTACAACAACACAGTTAAAAGTTCATTCACCACAATCAAGTGGGATTCATTCCAGGGATGCAAGGATGGTTCAACAACACAAATCAATCAATGTGATATGTTACTTCAACAGAATTGAAGACAAAAACCATATAATAATCTCAGTGGATTCTGAAAAGGCATTCAATAAAGTTCAACCTCTCTTCATGATAAAAACTCAAAAAATTGGGTATCAAAGGAGAATACCTCAACACAATAAAGGCCATTATAACAAACCCACAGCTAATAAAATGAACAAGGAAAAATTAAAAACCTTTCCACTAAGATCTGGAATAAGGCAAGGATGTTCACTTTCACCACTTTTATTCAACATAGTACTGGAAGTTTTAGACAGAAAAATTAGGCAAGAGAAAAAAACAAAAGGCATCCAAATTGGAAAGGAAGAAGTCAAACTGGCCTTATTTGCAGATAATATGATCTAATCTTTATGAAAACCTAAGGACTCCACAAAAAAAATCTTAGAACTAATAAATGAATTTATCAAAGTTATAAGATACAAAATCAACAAACAGAAACCAGTAACATTTATATATGCTAAGAGCAATCAATCTGAAAATAAACAGGAAAGCAATCCCATTTATAATAGCTACAAAAACAAAATACTTAGGAATACATTTAACCAAGGAGGTAACAGATCTCTACAGGAAAAACTATAAATCACTGTTGAAACAAATTGAAGAGGACACAATAAAATGGAAGAATATTCCGTGGTCATGGATTGGAAGAATTAATATTGTTAAAATGTATATAGTACTCAAAGCAGCCTACAGATTCAGAGCAATCCCTATCAAAATACCAATAATATTCTTCACAGAAATAGAAGAAACAATTATAAAATTCATATGGAAACAAAAAAATACCCCAAATAGCTAAAGCAATCCTAAGCAAGAAGAACAAGACTGGAGGCATCACACTACCTGATTTCAAATTATGTTGCAAAGCTATAGTAACCAAAAGTACATGATACTGGCAAGAAGCAGACACACAGGCCAATGGAAAAGAACAGAGAAACCAAAAATAAATCCACACACCTACAGCCAACTTATTTTCAACAAAGGTGCTATGTTAATCTGTTCTCACACTGCTATGAAGACATATCTGAGACTGGATAATTTAGAAAGAAAAGAGGTTTAACTGACTCACAGTTCCACAAGGCTGGGGACGCCCCAGGAAACTTACTATCATGGCAGAAGGAAAAATAGGCATATCTTACATGGTGGCAGGTGAGAGAAATGCTGAGAAAAGAGGGAAAAGTCCCTTAGAAAAGTATCAGATCTCATAAGAACTCACTCACTATCATGAGAACAGCATGAGAGTAACCACCCCCGTGATTCAATCACCTCCCACCGGGTCCCTCCCACGACATGTGGAGCTTATGGGAACTGCAATTCAAGATGATATTTGGGTGGAGACACAGCCAAACCATATCAGGTACCAAGAACATATATTGGGTAAAAGACAGTATCTTAAATAAATGGTACTGGAGAAACTTGATTATCTATGTGCAGAAGAATGAAAGTAGATCCCTCTGTTCCACCAAATTAAAAAAAAAATCAACTCAAAATGGCTTAAAGGCTTAAATGTAAGGTCTGAAATCATAAAACTACTAGAAGAAAACTACAGACATTGGTCTGGGCAAAGATTTTTTTGAGTAAGACCTTAAAAGCACAGGCAACAAAAGCAACATTAGACAAATGGTATTACATCAAGCTAAAAAGTTTCTGAAAGCAAATGAAATAGCCAAAAAAATGAAGAGACAACCTACAGAATGAGAGGAAATATTTACAAACCAACCATCCAACAAGAAATTAATAATCAGAATATATAAAGAACTCAGTAGCAAAAAAATAATAATCTGACTTTTAAATGGGGGAAACAATCTGGATACACATTTTTCAAAAGAAGACATACAAATGGTCAATAAGGATATGAAAAAGTGCTAGACATCAGTAATTATCAGAGAAATGTAAATCAAAATCACAATGAGATTCCCTCTCACCACAACTAGCTAGAATGACTGTTACCAAAAAGACAAAAAAAAAACTGACAAATGCTGGTGAGGATGTACCACTTGTACACTATTGGTGGGAATGTAAATTATAGCCATTATGGAATACAGTGTGGAGATTCCTCAAAAAACAGAACTACCATAAGATCCAGCAATTCCACTGTTGGGTACATATCCAGAGCAAAGGAAATCAGTAAGTATATCAAAGATATTTCTGCACTTTCATGTTTATTACAGCACTATTCATAATAGCCATATATGAAATCGGCCTAAGCATCCAACAACAGATGAATGGATAAAGAAAATGTGGTATATACAAACAACAAAATAGTATTCAGCCATTTAAAAAATAAAATCCTGTTATTTGCAGCAACATGGATAGAACTGCGGGTCATTATGTGATTATGTTAAGAGAAATAAGCCAAGCTCAAAAAGACTAATATTACATCTTCTCATTCATATGTGGGAGCTAAAATAATGGATCTCAAGGAGATAGAGAGTAGAATGGTGGTTACTAGAGCCTGGGAAGAGAGTGGGGGGCAGGGTGAAGAGAAGTTGGTTAAATGGTACAAAAATACAGAGAGACAGAAGGAATGAGTTCTAGTATTTGATGCAGTAGGGAAATTATGGTTAATAACTTATTGTATATTTCAAAATAAGTAGGAGAGAACTGTAATGTTCCCAACACAAAAGATAAATGTTTGAGGTGACAGATATCCCAATTACCCTGATTTGATCATTACACATTTTATAGAGGCATCGGGATAACACATGTACCCCAAAAATATGTACAACTGTTACCTATTAATTTTTTAAAAGACTGTATCCAGAATATAAAAAGAACTGTAAAAACTCAATAATAAAAATGAAATCAGTAAAGACATGAGCAAAAGATCCAAATAAAAACTATCAAATCGGGTATACAGATGGTAAATAAATCCACTTAAAAGTTAATCTATATAATCAACATTTCAAAAATGCTTTTAGAAACAATTGAAAATACCAAGTCATGGTGAAGAGATAGAGGAACTGAAACTCTCATACTTTGCACATGGGACTGTATCTTAGTACAGTTTCCTTTGAAAACCAATTGACAGACTCCTTTTAAATTTTATTTTATTTTTTACTTACAAAAAAGTATACATTTGTGGAGCGCAATGTGATACTATGAATAATGTGAATTATTAAATTAGGCCAATTAACATATCTTTCACCTCACATACTTATCGTATCTTTGTGGTGAGAACACTTAAAATCTAATCTTTTAGCAATTTTGTAATGTACAATATATTATTTTTAACTATAGTCACCATGCAGTGCAATGGATAACTAGAATTTATTCTGCCTAACTGAGCTTTGTATCCCTTGACTGACCTTTCCCTTTTCCTTTTCTGCCTTCCCACTCCCTGCCCCCAGCCTCTGGTAGTGACTATTCTACTCTCCACTTCTATGAGTCGGACACTTTTAGATTTAACATATAGGTAAGATTATATAATATTTGGCTTTCTGTGCGTGGCTTATTTCACTTAGCACATTGTCTTCTAGATTGATCAATGTCACAAATGACAGAATTTTCTTTTTTTTAAAGGATGAATAGTGTTCTATTGTGTATATTTACCACATTTTCTTTACCTGTTCATGTGCTGATAGGCACTTAGACTGTTTCCATATCTTGACTATTGAAGCATTATTCAATGTTTCAATGAATACGGGAATGCAGATATCTCGTCAACATAGTGATTTCAATTTGTTTGGATATATGCCCAGAAGTGGGATTGGTGAATCATATAAGAGTTCTATCTCTTTTTTTTTTTTTTGAGGAACTTTTATACTGTTTTCTAAAATGGCTGTGCTAATTTACATTCTCTCCAATAGTGTACAAGGGTTCCCTTTTCTCCACATCTCACCAACACTTATCATTCATTTTTTTGTTAATAGCCATTCTAACATGTGTGAGGTGATAACTCACTGTGTTTTTAATTCACATTTCCTTGATAATTAATGCTATTGAGCATTTTTATATATCTGTTGGTCATTTTTATGTCTTCTTTTGAGAAGTGTCTACTCATATCCCTTGCCTTTTTTTTTTTTTTTTTTTTTTTTGACAGAGCCTTGCTTGTCTCCAGGCTGGAGTGCAGTGGCACAATCTCGGCTCACTGCAACCTCTGCCTCCCGGGTTCAAGCAATTCTCCTGCCTCATCCTCCCGAGTAGCTGGGACTACAGGCGCACCCCAGCGCGCAGGGCTAATTTTTTGTATTTTAGTGGAGACGGGGTTTCACCATGTTGACCAGGATGGTCTCGATTTCCTGACCTCGTGATCCGCCCGCCTCGGCCTCCCAAAGTGCTGGGATTACAGGGGTGAGCCGCTGCGCCCGGCCTGCCCATTTTCAGTAAGGTTATTTGTTTTCTTGTTATTGAGTTGTTTATTTGTATAATTTGGACATTAGCCCCTTTTCAGATCTATGATTTGCAAATACTTTCTTCCAATCTGTGGGTTTCTCTTCACTCTGCTCATTGTTTCCTTTGCTGTGCAGAAGCTTTTTAGTTTGATGTAATCCCATTTGTCTATTTTTCTTTGATACATGTGGTTTTGGGTCATATCTAAGAAATCATTGGCCAAACCAACATAATAATTCTTTTCCCCTATCTTTTCTTCTAATAGTTTTATGATTTCAAGCCTTATGTTTAAGTATGTAATTCATTTTGAGTTGATTCTTGTGTATAGGCTTAGATAAGTTTCCAAATTTATTCTTTGCCATGTGAATATTCAGTTTTCCCAATGGCATCTATTGAAGAGACCATCCTTTCTTCATTGTGGGTACTTGGAACCTTCCTCAAAAATCAATTGACTGTAAATCTCAGGGAGAAGTTGGATGTTGGAAATGCCTTCCTCATCATATGGCACAGTATCCAGGGAGGGATTTGAGCCCATGTGTGCCTCAGCTGTTTCTATCTGTTCGATGTGGGTATTTTCTCAGTTGCCCAGTGCATAGAATCTCTGAACTCATTTCTGACTTTCTCTCAGAGGGAATTTATCAGCATGTTAATGTTTATTCAGTGCATCTGTGGGTGGAAGAAGAGTCAAGACTCTCCTGTTCTGCCATGTTGCTGATGTCTTCTAGTTTGTTTCCTATAAAGGTAAATTTACACTTACCATATATAACCCAACGATCTGACTGCTAAGAGAAACAAAAACTTACGTTCACACAAAAACCTGCATGCATATATTTATAGCAACTGCATTCATAATCATCAAAAGCCAGAAACAATCCAATTGTCCTTCAACTTAAGACCGAGAAGCTCTTTATCCATACAATGGAATATTACACAGGAATAAAAGACAACTGATTATTGATAAAGATAGAAGATGGGTGATGTCCAAATATATTATGCTCTGTGAAATAAGCTAGGCTCCAAAGGCTGGATCCTGTGTGGTTCCATTTATATGAAATTCTGGAGAAATGCAAAACTTTAGGGTCACAAATATTTGAAAACAGATCAGCAGTTATCAGGGACCATGAATGGAGGGAGGAGCTGATCTCAAAGGGGCATTGGGAATTTTTTTTGGGTAATGAAACTGTTCTATATTGTGATTTTGGTGCTGGTTACACAATTAATGTACCCATTACAGCTGACAGAGCTGTGTACTAAAAAAAAAGTGAATTTTACTCTAGGTAAATTATATGTTATAAAACTAAAACTAAGCTAAAGCTATGAAGCTCCTGGAAGAAAGATAGGAGAATACCTCTGAAACTTTGGGGTAGGCAAAGATTTCTTTAGGCCTAGGTAGCAATAACCTTTAAAGTATAATATACTGGACTTCATTAAAATGTGTATTTCTTCTTATTTAAAGATATCATTAAGACCATGATTATGTGAGCCTCAAACTGAAAGAAAACATCCATAATATGTTTGCCAAGCAAAAGATTAATAATTAAAATATAAAGTGTTTCTGTAACATAATAGTAAAAAGACAAACCATTCAATTTTTAAGTGAGTCTACCTTGAGTAGAAACTTCAATTTAAAGAGATGTACAAATGGCCAATAGGCACATGGAAAATGTTCTACGTCATCAATCACCAGGGAAATAATTACAAAATGGCTAAAATCCAGAGACTTGTACCTGAGTATTTACAGCAGCTTCAATCATAATAGCCCTAACCTGGAAACAGTCCAACTGTCCAGCATCAGGATAAATATTTATGAAATGGAATACTATTCAGCAATGAAAAATGAAGTACTGAACAACATAATGAATCTCAGAAAGACTCCATTTATGTAAAATTCTAGAAGAGGCAAAACTATTCTATGGTGATAAAAACAAGAACATAACTGTTTCAGGGAGAGGGTGGAGAATTAACTGTTTTGAGAGAACGAGGAAACTTTCTTGAGTGATGGAAATGGTCTCTCTCTTAATAGCAGTGTAGTTACATGTGTATGCATTTTTCAGTTCTGGTCAATCCTTATGATTTTTACATTTCATTGTATTTAAATTATACTTCAACTTTCCTTACTGATGTTTTTTAAAAATATAAAGTACAGGAGATTCCTCTTCTTCTGTTGGACAAGGTTAAATTTTCCTCATTAAATAGAAATTAGATAAATACATGATATTTTATTCACTTTATCCATCATCATATCCTGAATATCCAGAACAGTGCCCAGCACAAATCAGATTTCCAATAAATATCTGGAGAGTGATTGTTTGTGTCACTTGGAACTGCCACTACCATCTTGGAACCCTGAGTCCAAAGGCAAGAAGATGAGTAGAAAAAAAGAAGGTAAAAATATATAACCTGATTTGGCTAAGCCATGGGATTATCCAAGTTAAAATTTGTCCTATCTCCATCTTCCTATTTATATGAGAGAATAAATTGTATTTCTTAATCATTTGATTAATTTTAGTTGTTCTGAATTTAGTTGTTCTTCTCATACATTTGTTGAGAAGATTAAACAATACTATAAATATGAAATGCTTTATATAGGTTAAAAAAGGGTAATTCATGCATAGTTAAGGTACCTTATGATGATTATCTGTGATCATAATATACTCCTTCTACCTGAAAAAAATCTCACAAATTGTACAATTCAAGCATGGAAAAAGGGATAAGAAGTTGTATGATTTTATTCCTTTGAATTTACAGACTTGTTGCAGCATCTCATGTGTCTAACCTGAAGATAAACCAGCATCAGAAAGCATTAATTAGCTCATCATTCAAACTGTCTTCAGTGAAAAATTATCTGAGGCTGTGCAAGCCAGGAAATGCCTGTCAGTGCTCAACCTGTCAGAATCTCCATTTGACCACAGGGTCATTTGCAGTGGCATCTGATGGGAAAGTCAGCATCCCCAGTAGCATACTCGTGAGAGCATTTCCCCAGGACTGTTCTAGTAAACAGGCTCTGGCTCATTGCTTAAATGTTGGCTAAAGACAGAGCCATCTGGAAAGCAGGGTATTAGAATGATCTCTATTTTTCCAAGAATCAAAGCAAGGTGGAACATTTCAGAATGAAACCATGGATGTTATTCATAAAATCTGGGCCACATAAGGTTAGAGGCATATTGATTTTCAGTCTCAGGATGAAATGGCCATCTTTGGCCTTTCAGGAAAATGACCACAGATTAAGATGATGAAGAACAGATGCCACTATTTGAAGCTTCAATTAGAAAGCCCCAAATGGGCTTAATCGACAAGACAGCCATAACAACTGTGTCCTGCCACAGATTGACGGAAGGAAGACAAATGTTTTAATGTGGTGAAGACAAATCTAGCTGCTTCCAAACAAATGATCTGGTCAGTTTGAAAAAGTTGGAAGGAATCAAACTTGCCAATATGTACCAAGTTCCAGGAAGGACTTAGATTTGAGTAATTCATGTTGGAATTAAGTTTAAGAACAAAAACCTTTTTTAAAAAATGTTTTCTTAGATGAGCTCACCCATGAGACTATCTATACCTGGCAGGGTTTAGAGAAAGCATAGACATAAATCTACCTCTGCCTTGCCTAGAAGGCTTTGTGTCTCTTTTTCTGTAAATCTTCCTCTCTTTTAGTAGCCCTTCCCTTCCCACTACCCAAAAGCATCATCCTCCCATAATGGCTCAGACATAGATTATATCTATAAATTCATTCCCACCAATTAGTGATCACTGACTAATGTTGAATTATTTTTCTTTATGGAAAAACCTAGTGTTTACGCCAGTGAAATGTATCACTAATAGTTGGATTTCAGGTATCAGCCACTAGTTGGAAAGATATCAGAGGGAAAACATATATTCATTCCACAGTCATTTATTCATACGATAGCCATTAATATCACCTTTTTGAACATCTTCCTTTTGTAAGTTACAATGAAAATACAATAAAATATAAGTTAAATTTCTTTTGCTCCAGATTTTATTTACAAACAGGGGAGTTAAGATATATAGATAAATAACTATACATTAAGTCAGTGCCTGATATAGATATATCATTTTTTAAAATCCTATATTCCCCAGAAATTTAGAGAATGAAGAGAAAACTTCTAAGATGTTCGTAGAATGCTTCAGGGAAGAGGTTTGATAATGAGCTGTTCATGAAAGATTGAACTCATGAAACTGGGGATAAGGAAGACAGTCTCGGAGGGGAAAATGGCACAAGCAAACGTGTGGAGGAAATGCAAGTGTGAAGAATGGGCATCACCAATTCTTACATGAGTGATCACCTCAGGGTGTGTCAACTTACCTTGGGCTTCTGCAAAACAGTCAAGAAAACTGCTTTTTATTATTTTCTGTTTTCTGAATCAGCAACTCTGTCACAAGCTAGAAGTCCCTGTATTATTCTTCATTCTATTACTTTTCATGTAAGACTTGAAAACTCTTGGGAGCCTTGGTCTACTAATTCATATGTCATGTTTGAGTTACATTTTAGAAATAGCAAATACACTTGAGGCAAACAGGCCCTAGTTTTGTTTTGTTTGTCTTCTCCTCACTGAAATTAAATTAAAATCTATACCTTTCCTCTGATGTTAGTAACCTCTTTGTTTTGTTTCTTTAATAAAGAGAAAAACACTATTCACAACCGCAGTCCCAAAACAATCTCCAGGGATTATCTAAGCAACGCACTTGTTTCCAGGCATTAGTGCACTTATTGTATTAATATTTCATAAACAACATAATACTACTGATAATTAGTAGTCTTATAAATGAATAACAACTTTGAATAATCTGGTCTTAACATAATAACTTGAAGTTAACTGAGCTCATTAAGTTATAATAATTTAGGCAGAGATTTTCTATTTACATGACAAGGATTAGGAAGCCTTTACCTTTAAGCTAATACATGAATATGAGAAATCAGTTTTGAAAGGATGATTATCATTATTGGTATTATTACTAACACTGAAGATTTACACAAATCATAGCATGTAGAACCTTTATAAAGAAAAGGTTCATTCAAAATTTAAAGGGCAATGCCCAGTTAGTTTCAGCGTATTTACATCTTCCAGGCCTGCACATATGGACACTTAATGCCAGGAAGGGAACAAGCTGTGTGGAAAGAAAAAAGCTTGACCTTGTATCAGTCACTCACTAGCTGTTTGACCCCTAGCAATTAACCTAAATTTTCTGAGCCTCAGTTTTCTTGAATGTGAAGTAGAGATCAAAGTGCCTATCACATAGTTGTGATAAGAGGATTGGGTGACATGAAGTCTATAAAGTTGCTGCAGAGAACCCACACAAGCAAGCATTCTGGGAGACACTTTTTTTCTGAAATTGATAGTAATCAATGTTCACGTCTCTAAAATGGTAACTCACTCTAACAACCTATTTCCAGGGTTGCATGTGTGTTCTAGGTTGATTTATGTACAGTTTCTCCAGCTCTGAGCCAGTGCAAACATGGCTGAGGCCTTTGTACCTCCTTTCACTACTTGAAGTGTTAACTCCCACTGGACTGGGAATCACAATTGCATTGCCTGATGGCTGGTAATGCGCTTTAGATACAAACTTAGAGACATTTTTCACCTTCTGGAACAACAACAAAAAATACTGAAAACGGTGCTGGTGAAAGGAATCTTCCTCATAATCGAATTTGAAGCGATCTTTTCCAGAGGATTCACGAATGGCCCAGTGTTGTTTGCTCTGCATAGTGATATGCATTGTTCCACCAAACATGGTTTGTTTTATTTCTTACTTATTTTCACAAATATATTTTTAAAACTCTAATAAACATTTAAAATCAAAAACACAGGATTCTGAATGTCCAAATGTTTCCATCTTCTTCACATGAAGTAATTTTTCTAACATAATGTGGTAGAAACTTAACCTCAGACTTGCCCTTAACCAATTCACCAGATTACTCAAGCTCTTCATTCCCACTACAACACATGTTGACTGGCAATGAAGTCTCACCAAATGCTTCGGAAGCCTGCCCACCCCTACGCTCACGTGCTGCACATGTACCAAGACTCAGTTGCATTTCTCCCAAACATGTTTATGCTGCTTAAATTTATTATGATGATTTCACAATTTAATTAAATATTACAAAAAGCTATCAACTATGAGTGAGAAAATTTTTCTATGAAAATTGAGTGGAAAACTTTGGAAAGTCTCAATGAATGTAAATGACATATAAAAACCACAACCAATTAGGTAGAGGCAGACAAACATAAACAAATTAAGGGAAACAGCAATAAAAATCTAGGATTCTGCCCTTTGACCGTTTTTCCTCTTTAAATTTCTTCTTTCACAGTGAAGAAATTGAACTTGGGCATTGAAGGTGATGCATCAATGCTTAATGGAAGAAAAATAACATTGAGCTTCCAACAGTGGACCTATACTTAATCTACCAAAGGAAAAAAAAACTGTGCATGAAGATCCATTTATATGTTTTAAGTTAATATAAAATGTCTAAGTTGGTTGTGGATTTTCCCAATTTCCCAATTTCACCTCCTGTATGAACTAATTAATCCATTGCAATTCTAACATATCTAATTTCTAAAACTTCTGTTACTTTAGAATGCGTCTGTATTCTTCAACGTATTTTTGTACAATGACAAATCAATCTTAATTGTTGTATTCTTTTAGCAGGGAACAAAAACATGAAACCTTAAATTCAAAATGAATTAAACAGAAATTAAGACTTTAACAGGCTAGGTGTGGTGGCTCACACCTGTAATCCCAGCATTTTGGGAAGCTGAGGCGCGGGTATTACTTGAGGGCAGGAGTTTGAGACCAGTCTGGCCAATATGGCAAAACCCCATCCCTACTAAAGATACCAAAAAAAAAATTAGTCAGACGTGGTGGCAGGTGCCTGTAATCCCAGCTACTGGAAAGGCTGAGGCAGGAGAATCGCTTGAACCTCGGGAGGCAAAGGCTGCAGTGCAGTGAGCCGAGACCATGCCACTGCACTCCAGCATGAATGACAGAACAAGATTATCTCAAAAAAAAAAAAGTTAACACTTAATTAGCAATGATGTTTTAATGGCTATCTTTAGTGATTTCCCATGAGTAGGAAGTCTCCAGGTGCCTCTTCTCCCTCTGGATATTAGTCTCCTTCCTGCCACCATTGCCTTCGTTGCCTTTAGCTATACAAGATTCTTTTATGCCTTGGATGACCACATACACACCATGGCTACAGAGGACAGTCTGGTTTAAGTCCATTGGATCAACATAACTATTGAAAGTCCTCCATTTCACTTCCATTGTTGTCCTAGTTTGAAAGATACAGTATATGGACTCCATATTTGTATAAGACCTCATACTACCCTGCTCTCTGAATTTTTTACTTTCTCATCTTCTCTTTCTTTTGTTCTCTTTGTGCACTTGACCTTGAGAAAAAAAATCACTCTTCAGACATGTATTCCTGACTTAGAGATAACCTCCTGCAAGATCTTATTAAAGATTTACAAAAAGAGTGACTTAGTTAGAAGAAAATATAAATATATCACAGAACTCTGATGTCAGAGTCCTCATTGCCAACCAGGGCCATTAACCAAAAGATCCTAAAAAGCCAAGGCAATATGCATCTCTCTGTCTCTGTTTCTGACTGTGTGGTCCCTCATCTTATCCTCTTTTTGGATGTCTGTTTCATCCTCCTTTTCCCTACTGACCAGCTCTTTCTCCTTTACTCTCACTTAACTCAAACTTGGGTTTACATCAACTACCTGACTTTTTGTCACCTACCAGTTCAAGTGCTTAAAAGAAACAACTTCATTTGCCATGGCTGTACTTGACATTCTCGAGAGAAAAAATTGATCCAATAAGCCCAACACTTAGGTTAGCTTTTTCGTATTACACCAATGACTGATTCAATAAACTGTAAGGGTTGTGGGTTATGAGAGAAAGGCCACATGGTCCAGGGCAGGTGGAACTATATGATACAGATTCTCTAACAAGGGGACATGAGCACAGAAAAACATCATTGGCATTTGTAATATTTCTCTTCAGACTCTGAAAGTAATTCAGTGACTAAAATCGCTAATCAATCTAAATACACGCAAATGTGCTAATAGAAGATCACAGTCTAAGATAACATAAATATGCTTTTAAAATAGGGTAAAATCATAATGTATAATGAAAATCCCCAGTATGTTGAAAGCCAGTGATAAAGATATCTCTGGCAAGAGAATCACTTTAGACTCTGTTAATAAAAAGAAACAGCATGAAGTGATTTTGATGCATGCAGATAAATGACAGCAACTTGTACAATCTTCTCTTAACCTTCACTTTACCCCTAAACACCACAAATATTTGCCCATGAATGAAATAACTCACCATTAATGTAGTGAGAAAATAAGTTCACAAATATTATGTATTTCTTTTACTGAAGCCCCAAATTTGCATCTTGACTTTGATTTTCAATAGTTTTGAGACATTGAGTCACTTATAGATTCATTTCTCTAAACTATAGTTGGTATAGTTGAACTGTCTAGTGACAATTAGTTTGGAGCTACCAATACTTTGTTGTCTTAGGTATGGTTTGTGTTCTATTTAATACTCCCTCTAAATGCTTAAGATATGAGTAGATAAAACTTAAGCAACATCAGAAAGAAATGAAACATGTATAAGACATGGAGTTTCTTCTAAAGGAGTTTACAATCGAAATAATGAGAAAATTAAAAGCTTTTAGCTAAATATGCACAAACTTAAATACATTTTTTCTCTTCTCCTTAAATGTACAATACTCTTTCCTATTAGAATTCATCTGGAGACTATGATGGTAATAAGAAAGTATGTGAAACCCAGAAATATGGAAAATATGAGAAATAAGTATCTAGTAATTACTGTTTAGAGGAAGTATTAATTCGACCTCAGTATCATCACAACAAAAATTTGTATTAAGCAGTAAGCTTCATTTTTTAAAATTGACTAGAAAGTACAGAGAGTTTTCATATATTACCTGTCCCCTCAAATGTACAACCTTTCATACTATCACCATCCCACATCACAGTGGTACATTATTATAATCGATGAACTTACATTGACACATCATTATCACCCAAAGTCCTTAGTTCTCATTAGGATTCACTCTTGGTGTTGTAGATTCTGCAGGTTTTGCCAAATGTAAAATGACATGTATCCACCATGACATTATCCTTCAGAATAGTTCGATGCCCTAAAAATCCTCTGTGTTCCGTCTATTAATCTCTTCCTCCCCCTTACCCTGGCAAGCATTGATCTTTGTACTGTCTCCATAGTTTTGCCTTTTCCAGGCTGCTATATAGTTGGAATTATACAGTAGGTAGCCTTTCCAGTTTGGCTTTTTCCACTTAGTAATATGTATTTAAGGTTCCTCCCATCTTTTCATGACTTGATAGTTCATTTATTTTTGTAGTGATGAAGAATATCCCATGGTCTGGATAAACCACAGTTTATCCACTTACCTACTGAAGGAGATCTTGATTGTTTCCAAGTTTAGGCAACTATGAATAAAGATGCTAAAAATGTTTGTGTGCAGGTTTTTGTGTGTTTTCAACTCATTTGGATAAATATCAAGGAGTACAATTGCTGGATCATATGGAAAGAATATGTTTACCTTTTGTAAGAAATTGCCAAACTGCCTTTCAACGTGGCTGTACCAGTTTGCATTCCCACAAGCAATGAATGAGTTCCTGTTGCTCCACATCCTCACTAGCATTTTGTGGTGTCAGTGTTCTGAATTTTGGCCATTCTAATAGGTGTGTTTTGCTTTGCAATTCCCTAATGTTGAATCATACTGAACATCTTTACATATGCTTATTTGCTATTTGTATATCTTCTTTAGTGAGCTGTGCAGAGCTTTTGTTTCTTTTTTTTTTTTTTTTTTTTTGAGACGGAGTCTCTCTCTGTTGCCAGGCTAGAGTGGCGCAATCTCGGTTCACTGCAACCTCCGACTCCCGGGTTCAAGTGATTTTCCTGCCTCAGCCCCCTGAGTAGCTAGGACTACAGGCGTGCGCCACCAGGTCCAGCTAATTTTTGTATTTTTAGTAGAGATTGGGTTTCACCATGTTGGGTCTATATCTCCTGACCTTGTGACCTGCCTGCCTCGGCCTCCCAAAGTGCTGAGATTACAGGTGTGAGCCACCGTGCCCGGCCTGTTCGTTTTTTAAATCAGGTTGTTTCTTTCTTTATTGTTCAGTTTTATGAGTTATTTGTATATTTTGGATAACAATTCTTGATCAGATGTGTCTTTCACAAATATTTTCTCCCTGTCCGTGGCTTGTCTTCTTATTCTCTTGACATTGTTCTTCACAGACCAAAAGTTTGTCATTTTAATAAAGTCTAGCTTATTAATTATTTATTTCATGGATCATACCTTTGGTGCTGTATCTAAAAAGTCATCACCATATCTAGGGTCACCTAGGTTTTCTCCTATGTTACCTATTAGAAATTGTATAGTTATGTACTTTGCATTTAGGTCTATGATCCCTTTTGGGATAATTTTTGTGAAAGATGTAAGTCTGTGTCTACATTCATTTTTTGCATGTGAATGTTCAGTTGTTCTAGCACGATTTGTTGAAAAGACTATATTTTCTCCATTGTATTGTCTTTGCTTCTTTATTAAAGGTCAATTGACTATATCTATGTGGGTCTATTTCTGGGCTTTCTATCCTGTTCTATTGATCTATTTGTCAATACTACACTGCCTTCATTACTGCAGTGCCTTAGTCAGCTGGGGCTGGTATAACAAATTACCATAGACTGAGTGGCTTAAACAAAAAACATTTGTTTCTCACACTTTTGGAGGCTTAGAAGTCCAAAATTCGACATCTGCAGATGTAATATCTAGTGAGGCCCTCTTTCTGGTTTGCAAGCGGCCACCTTTTTGCTATGTCCTCACATGCTAGAGAGAAAGATCATCTTTCTTGTGTATCTTCTAATAAGGGCACTAATCTCATTGGGAGGGCTCTACACACAATCAAGTTACCTTCCAAAGGCCTCACCTTTAAATACCATACATTGGGGATTAAGATTTCTACATATACATTTGAAGGGAATGCATTCAGTTCATAGCATGTAGCTTTATAGTAAATCTTGAAGCCAAGCAGTGTTAGTCCTCCAACTTTGTTCTTCTCCTTCAGCATTGGTTTGGCTATTCTGGGTCTTTTGCCCCTCCTTATAAACTCTAGAATCAGTTTATCAATATCTGCAAAATGACTTGCTGGAATTTTTATCAGGATTGCATTGAATCTATACATCAAAATGAGAAGACCTGACATCATGGCAATGTTGAGTCTTCCTATTCAAGGTCGTGGAATATCTTTCCATGTCTTTTGTTCTTTGATATTTTTCATTAGAGCTTTGTACTTTTCCTCATAAATAGATCTTGTACATATTTTGTTATTACATAAATATTTCATTTTTAGGAGCACTAATTTAAATGATAATTCTTTGTATTTCAAATTCTACTTATTCATTGGTACAATAACATTTTTAAAGGTTTTGTTAATGCTGCTTAACAAAACCACTGATATTTGGCCTGGAGCATCCAGAAAAGCAGGAGAGACGGCCTTTGCTTTAGATGTACCTAGAGAGTTTAGTCTTACTCCGTATATTTCTTTACAGAGACTATGAGTTTGAAAAGCTCTGAAGATGAATTTATGAGATATGCTAACATGAATTATGATAGTGTGTCAATGTTTAGATCACCTTGAATAAAAGAGCTGTGTCTATTACTAGCTGACAGATTTGGAAATTATTCAGAAGTGTTTCTAATTACAATATAATTGTTTTCTTCTATAATTTAATGGATCTGAGAAAAACTGAAGTGGATCACAGTTTTATAGAATTCAGAGCAAGTAGTACCTTGCACTTATCATATTTGGTGTATTGTATAAATGTTCATTTATGTATATAAGTGCTTTTGTTTACGCTCTTTAGCTTTATCCAAAACAATTTCTATTAATTGCTAGCTGAAAAAGCTAACAAACATACAATTTTTATTATTCAGTGTGAAGAATATTTAGTTTTTATAAGCAGCTTATTTATCTTACTGTTCTCCCCATGACAAGAGAACTAGTCAGCAGAGAGTACCATAATCTTAAAAATAGTATCAAACCTTCCCAGTTCATATTATTCTTGCTAATCCACCCTTTACCTGATCAAGCAAACAACATTTTAAGATGAAGATATTTTAAAACAAAATATTTTTATCCAGGTTATATTTATGTTGCTGCTTGACCAAGACTGCTTACGCACTACAAGTGGTGAGTTTTCTACTGTCAGTTATTATGAGTGTGTAAGCACAAGGAATAATGTAGCCTGCACATTTTTCCACATTTATTCTTCCAGAACCTATTTTTAGGCTATTCTACAGGTAATTATCACTGTATAAACAAACTGCTTACACATCCATATAGACTGATTTACAGCAGCTACTCATTTTACCTGCCTATGTATCATGCTGTCAATATGTTCAAGATAATGTGCAGAAAGCATAAGACTGAGGAGCCAGAAAAGGCCTGAGAGGTTACATGGTCTAATGTGCTTTTTGTATAGATCAGGAAATGGATGATAAAATCACATCATCTGAGGATATGCTCACTTTTCAAATATCTTAACATACAATTAAAAGATCATGAAATAAAAAAGAACAGGTAGATCTGGGATGCTGAGAAAACCAGCACTTTGATTTAGTTTTTGCATACTACATGGGCCTTTGCACATACTGGCCCCTCTAAAATGCCCGCCCCCTCCAAGACTGATAATCGTATTTCAAAATTATATTCAAGTTAAATGTCTCTTCCATGGTTTTCTGGACTCCACTCTCAACCTTGTTAGTCATTATTACTTCCACACTTGGTGTTTGCATTATATTATGTAACGCATCAGATATATCTTGTATCCTACCTCTTTTCCGCACAGCTCCACCCTTAACTCCAGCCACTGCTACTGTGGCTATTTCCACAAGTCACAGACTAGCTTTATGCAACTGCAAATTTGCCAGCACCTCAGCTCATTCCTTTGCTGTGTATCTTTTGCTTCCTGTCCTGTGTGTCTTTGACACACAGCATGGGTCACCTATGGGAATCTACTCAGTACTTTTTCACATCTAACCTATGGAAATTAACACATATGAGAAAATGCTTTGACAGACTGGCAAAAGAGTCAAATAATACATTCTTAGCTTTTCATACCCTGAAAAGCCAGTTCTAAGATGCAATTCTAAAGGCTCCTCAGATGGACCTGCAGAACTGAGTACCAGTCACCCATAGCATAGCCAACTTGACAATGCACCCCCTACCCTGTAATGGCTTCATCTCTTCCCTGTTTTTCTTCCCTTGTTTCTCATTACTGCTTCCTTTGATCACTTCCCAATTTAAGCCACCTGCATGTAAGCCATTTCTCAATAGGAAATTGCAGCAACTCAATAGAGACAGGACTATGATAACAGATTTTTCAGAAATGAAATCTGTTGCCTACCTGATAAAGACCTCTGCCTAAGTGGAATATATAAGCAGAGTATAAGGGAAATGTTGAATGGATGATGGAAGAAAAAAATATGATGATAAGCCTTGGTCTAATAACAGGATACAGTTCTAGAAACTGTAGTCATTATGCATATTTTGTGTTGATTGATTATTTTTCTCCCCTCTCCCTGATACTTTGTGTGAGAGGTTTGTGTGATGGGGGAGAATGCTACAATTTAAGTTCCAGTTGAAGTTAATGTGTGACTGACATCATTCCATCACTATCTGGTAGGGATTTTGTGTCTCCTTGGTGTTAGGAATGACAACATCTTCATCTTCTAAATAATGGGCAAGAATAGATGCTTTGTGGACAAAGCAATGGAATGTGCCAGTCTCTATCTATTTCCTCACTTAGATCCATTCTCCACTCTTTTCTTCCCCTCTCTGTATTAAGTAGGCTGCTCTTAATGAATTGCACTTTGAGAACTCCCTAATGGCTGACTTCCAGTTGGATTTGACAAGCAGATGGGCCAGCAGGGGATTGGAAGGCAGAAGAAGAAAAATGTTGGGACATTTCTTTCCTGACCTCTCTCTGCTTGGCACTATTATCTCTGGTGGCAGCTGTGTCCCTTCCAATCACAACTCCCACTGGGATCTGGTCACTCTATGTCCTCCTCTGTTCCCAAAGAAACAATTGCTTCTCATTGTTACTAGTCTAAGTGACAAATTGTGCCTTGTTTGTCCTCTTAAGCCTGCTTCCCCTTATACTATTGAAGTCTCTTCATTTGAGTTCTATGAATGAACTCTGGTTTTTGCCAAGACCCTGGCTGATTTACACACACACTTGTTTTCACACATGCGCATGTGCACACACACAGACACACACAGATGCCAAGACACAGAACACTCTCATTTCAATGAAGATGACTCATCTATGACTCATTCTATGAAGAATAATAGTAGTTAAATATGTCATAAGAACAAAAGAGGAAAAGACAATGAGGAACTAGGACAATTTACAATTTATTTTAATAAAAGCTGCTAGCCATTTTAAATCATGTTTAAATCAAATCTCCTATTCCATTAAAAAGTTTTATAGCGATAGCAAACATTTTATTATTTTGAGAGTCACATCTTTCTCTTTTCTAGGCCTCCTTTACAGAGAGAATAAAAATTATATAGTGGCTATAAAATAATAGAAGGTAGAAAATGTGAGATGTAAGTCCAATAAGCTACTGGATAATTCCAATTAGACTTTAAAACTATCCTTTTCCAATACTATTCTTCTCCTTCACCTTCTTTTCTCTAGGTAAATCCTTGCACGACACTTGTTTCTTTCACCATCTTTCCTGCCTGTCCATGTTCCTAGTGTACCCTTTCATTTATCTCTTTATATTGGGGTCCCATACTCCTAAATTACATAATTTATATACATTGCAGGACACATGGGCACAGTAGCTGGTATGACAAAATTGAAATGCCAGTTTATACTTAATTTTAAAATGCTTATTTCATGATATATTATGAAGGGAGCTAAGCATGCCTTAATATGACTTTGTTTATCCCTAAGACTAAATCACAAACGATTATGGTGTTTAACAAAGTTTGGTGATGGCACAGGTTCACAAGCCCACTCTTCATTTCATATTTATCCCCCACATCAATATATCCCTCTGGAAATCACAAGAAGAAACAGTCTTCTGAGGAAAGTCTGTTCATCATCATTCACATTAACTTCATCTGCAAAGAGGGTAGTAAAAGACATCTCCTTTTCTTGTTCTAATTCTAATACTCAATCAGCATCCATTTCATGTTTGAATGTCTACTTGTTTTTGAAAACTTGACTTCAATGTTTTGGGGTCCATGGTGGATATCTGCCATTTCTTTTATGGACACATGACATGGGCACCATTAAACTGGTAACTCTCATCCCTGACTCTGAACTGGGAGGTAGTAAGTAACTGAAAAGGATTCTCTCTGAAGCAGGAAGACAAAGTTCTTGGGCCAACAGTGCAGAGGTCTGGGTGGCAGCATCCAACAGTCAGTGCCAGCGGGATTGGCACTGCAAGCTAAAGTGTCCAGTGCTCAGAGGAAGTTACTGCAGCTTCCTCACTGAACCAGTCTGTGACAAGACTGTGAGTATTTTTCCAGGTCACACAGCCACCAAGCACATGGTTCTCTATTTCTCCTAGAAATTTATAAATTTACCCAGCATCCTCTTTTTAATTTCCTTTTTTTTCTTTTGGAACTCAAATCCAAACAGAAATTGATTTAATTGTACTCCTATGCTGTCTTGCTAGAAGACTATTTTCCTGCTTTATCTCATTATTTCTTCCATTGTTTCACCTTTTGATTCTTTCATTCTACCACCAGCAAGGATACCTACTGTAATGTGTTGGTATATGTACAGGGATATGTGGGTGTGTGTGTGTGTGTGTGTGTGTATTTCTTTGAAAACCTATGTCATCGTTTTGGGTATCATGTGATTTTTAAATTTACATAAGTGGTGCTAAGCTGCATATCATTCTATTTTTTTTCACTGAACACTCTGATAATAAGATCTATCTGTGTTTTTGTAGGTACTGTAATTCATTGCCTCTGCCACACAGTAATACATAATAATCGTTATCGTATTTAGTTTATCTCTTCTCCTAATGATGGCAAATTTGGTTGTTGCCTCCAGCTCCCTGCTGTAACAATGCCACAATAAACATCTTCAAGCATACCCCTTCATGGACATATATATTCATTTCTCTGGAGTCTATGTTATGAGGAGGATTACTAGATAGGACATATGCAAAATGTGTATATCCGTCTCTACTCTCATCAGGTATGCGTGGTTTCCTACTTCCCCGCACTCTTGCCAGCACTTGGCATCATCCTACTTTCTTATTTTTCATACTCTGACTGATGCGAAGTGCTGTTGTTTCCCTGATTACCAGTTGTTTATTTACTTGTTATATATGTATTTGTTAGCTATTTGAGTTTCTCCTTTCGTGACATATCCTGTGTCCATTTTTCTTTTTGTTTCACTACCTTTTACTTGTGAATTTATAAGGGTTCTTTCCAGACATTAATTCTATACCAACTTTAGACATTGTAATTATCTTCTCCAAATCCTACATCCATTTACTAATAAAATAACTTATTGTTCCACATGCATTTCCCATACACAGCTTCTATTGTTTACATCTAAGAACTTAAACTGAAACTGAGACCATAATGGTACCTTTTCTTTCTTGGTTATCAGAGAAAGTTATCTCCAAGAATCATTATTTTGATTGATGAATAACATAATGTTCATGAGGTCTTATGTAAAATATTATCTGCCTTTCCTTATATTTCTCACTAAAAAAATCCATATCTGCCCTCTAAATGTTCTACGCCTTCTGCAAATCTGTTTCAAAACAGCCACATTGTACAGAACTCTTATTTATCTAGCTTTTGGTAGCTCTGCATCCATTCTAAGCAACTGCAATTTATATGTATTATTTCCTTGTCTGTTATAATTGATTGAAGAAGAAAATAATCTACTAATTAATATCCACAGAAAGCATACTGTTGGACTAGTAGTTTAAGACTGTGTTATTTAAACCAAAACAACCATTGTTTTAAAGTGCAAGATTTTTTCCAAAGACAGTTATAGGGTACGCAATGGCTAATAACATCTCCTGGTAAAAGAGATATTCGGAATTGGGGATTCTGAATCATTGACCATCCACTTCCCATTGTCCCCAGAACCCAGCTAAATTCCTGAAGAATATGTGCACAGAAGATCCTCCAGAAAGAAGCATACTCTTTATTACCAGCTGATACTTTCTCTCCAACCTCTATGTAGTCTCATACCTGGTATATTAGTCTGGGTCCTCCAAAGAAACAGAACCATATGTATATATGTATCTATATACCGAGAGAAAGAGACAGAGTTTAAGGAATTGGTTCTCATAGTAATGGAGGCTGGCAAATCCAAAATATGCCAGGCAGGCCATCAGGCTGGAGACCCAGGGAAAAGTCAATGCTACCATTCAACTCCAAAGGTCTTCTGCTGGCAGAAATTCTTCTAGCTGGGGAGAGATCAGTCTTGTGTTCTATTCAGTCCTTCAACTGAATAGATGAGGCACATGTGGAATAGATCCACATTCTAAAAGACAATCTGCTCT